>NW_014040930.1:0-155930 GCF_000001405.40 Homo sapiens
TAATTTCTTACACCTGTCTTTACTGCAGTCTCTGAACATAAATTGTGAAGATTTCATGGACACTTATCACTTCCCCAATCAATAGCCTTGTGATTTCCTATTCCTGTCTTTAATCTCTTAATCCCGTCATCTTCGTAAGCTGAGGAGGATGTATGTCGCCTCAGGACCCTGTGATGATTGCATTAACTGCACAAATTGTTTGTAGAGCATGTGTGTTTGAATAATATGAAATCTGGGCACCTTGAAAAAAGAACAGGATAACAGCAACGTTCAGGGAACAAGAGAGATAACCTTAAACTCTTGACTGCCAGTGAGCCGGGCGGAACAGAGCCATATTTCTCTTCTTTCAAAAGCAAATGGGAGAAATATCGCTGAATTCTTTTTCTCAGCAAGGAACGCCCCTGAGAAAGAGAATGCGTCCCTGAGGGTAGGCCTCTGAAATGGCCACTTGGGGGGTGGCTGTATTTTACAGTCACAGCTGTAGGGATGAAATAAGCCCCAGTCTCCTGTAGCGCTCCCAGGCTTATTAGGATGAGGAAATTCCCACCTAATAAATTTTGGTCAGACCGGTTGTCTGCTCTCAAACCCTGTCTCCTGATAAGATGTTATCAGTGACAATGCATGCCCAAAACTTCATTAGCAATTTTAATTTCGCCCCGGTCCTGTGGTCCTGTGAACTCGCCCTGCCTTCATTTACCTTGTGATATCTTATTACCTTGTGAAGCATGTGATCTCTGTGACCCACACCCTATTCGTACACTCTCTTCCCTTTTGAAATCGATAATAAAAACTTGCTGGTTTTATGGCTCAGGGGGCATCACGGAACCTGCTGACATGTGACGTCTCCCCCGGACACCCAGCTTTAAAATTTATCTCTTTTGTACTCTGTCCCTTTATTTCTCAGACCGGCCGACACTTAGGGAAAATAGAAAAGAACCTACGTGAAATATCAGGGGTGAATTTTGCCCGATAGCATCTCTACAAAAATTTGTTTAAAATAGCCAAGCATGGTGGTACGTGTCTATAGTCCCAGCTACTCGAGGGGCTGAGGTAGGAGGATTGCTTGAAGCCAGGAGTTCGAGGCTACCATAAACTATGATCCTACCACTGTACTCCAGCCTGGGTGACAAAAAAACAAACCTAAACAAAACACAAAATATGGTGATACGGTTTGGATATTTGTCCCTTCCAAATCTCGTCAAAATGTCATCCCCAGTGTTGGAGTTGAAGCCTGGTGGAAGGTGAATGGATCATGGAGGCAGATCCCTCATGAACGGCTTAGCACCATCCCCTTGGTGATGAGTGAGTTCATCTGTAATCTGGTTGTTAAAGGTGTGTGGCATCTCCCGCTTTGCTCTCTTGTTCCTGCTGTCACCATGTGACATCCCTGCTCTCCCTTTTCCTTCTGCTGGGATTTGAAGCTTCCTGAGGCCCTCACCAGGAGCAGATGCTGGAGCCATGCTTGCACAGCCTGCAGAACTGAATCAATTAAACCTCTTTTTCCTCTCTCTCTTTTTTTATTTTTATTTTTTTTGATATGGAGTCTCACTCTGTCACCCAGGCTGGAGTGCGATGGCACGATCTCAGCTCACTGTAACCTCCGCCTCCCGGGTTCAAGCGATTCTCCTGCCTCAGCCTTCCAAGTAGCTGGGATTATAGGCGTACGCCACCATGCCCAGGAGGCAGAGGTTGCAGTGAGCCGAGATCACACCACTGCACTCCAGCCTGGGTGACAGAGCAAGACTCCGTCTCAGGGAAAAAAAAAAAAAACTACCAAATTGTTTTCCAGAATAACTGAATCATTTTACATTCTCATTGGCAATTCATGAGTGATCTAGTTTCTCCACATCCTCTTCTACATTTGGTGTAGCAACTGTTTACATTTAGCCATTTGGAATAAGTGTACAGGGATAGCCCATTGTAGTTTTAGTTTGCATTTCCTTAATGGCTAGTGATATTGAACATCCTTTCCCAAGTTTATTTCCAATGTGTATATTCTCTTTACTGAAGTGCTTTTTCATGTCTTTTGCACATTTTTATTTAGATTATTTATTTTTGAGTTTTGGGAGTTCTTTATATATTCTAGATACTAGTCCTTTATCAGATACGTAGTTTGCAAATATTTTCTCCCACTCTATGCCTTTTCATCCTCTGAACAGGGTCTTTCACAGAGTAAAAGTGCTTAATTTTGATGAAATCTATTTTATTATTTTTCCTGTTATGGATTGTGCTTTTAGTGTCAAGACTAAAAATGCCTTGTGTAGCTCTAGGTCCAGAAGATTTTCTCCTAAATGTTTGATGATGTACATTTAAGTCCATGGTTTGGTTTGGTTTTTGTTTTTTGGTTTTTGTTTTTCTTTGAGACAGTCTTATTCCCTCACCCAGGCTGGAGTGCAGTGGCATGATCTTGGCTTACTGCAACCTCTGCCTCCCAGGTTCAAGCGATTCTGGTGTCTCATCCTCCAAAGTAGCTGGAATTATAGATGCGCACCATCACGCCCAGCTAATTTTTGTATTTTTAGTAGAGACAGGGTTTCACCACGTTGGCCAGGCTGGTCTTGAACTCCTGACTTCAAGTGATCTACCTGCCATGCTGGAATTATAGGCATGAGCCACTGCACCTTGTTGTAATTTTTGTATATAATGTAAGATTTATTTCAAGGTTCATTTTCTTGCCTATGAATATCTGATTACTCCAGAACCATTTGTTGAAAAGCCATTTTTCCTCCATTGAATTGCATCAGCACCTTTGTAAAAAACCAACTGGGCACATATTAGTTGGTGACAAATTCTTTTAGTTTTCCTTCCTTTGAGAATTTTACAATTTCCCCCAGCATTCTTGAAGGATATTTTCATTGGATATGGGATTCTGAGTTGATAGTTTTTTTAACAATGGAAAAGTGTTGTGTCACTTCTTTCTGGTTTCTGTTGTCTCTGATGAGAAATAAGCTGTCATTCAAATTATTTTTTCTATATAAGTAACATATTGTTTTTCTCTGGCTGCTTTCAAAAAATTTTTTTGTTTTGTTTTCAGAAGTTTGACTATAATGTATCTTGGTGTGAACTTCTTTGGGTTTATCCCAATTGGAATTCTCTCAGCTTCTTGAATCTATTGTTTTATGCATTTTGCCAAGTAGGAAAGTTTTCTTTGAATATTTGTTCATTTGATTATTTATTTATTAATGTATTTTTTTGAGACAGGGTCTTGCTCTGTTATCCAGGCTGGAGTACAGTGGCAGAATCATGGCTCACTGCAACCTAGACCTTCCAGGCCGAAGCGTTCCTCCCACTTCAGTCCCCAGAGTAGCTGGGACCACAGGTGTGCACCACCACACTCAATTTTTTTGTTTTTGAGGCGGAGTCTCGCTCTTTCACCAGGCTGGAGTGCAGTGGCATGATCTTGGCTCACTGCAATGTCTGCCTCCCAGATTCCAGTGATTCTCGTGCCTCAACCTCCTGAGTAGCTGGGATTACAGGTGCCTGCCACCATGCCTGGCTAATTTTTGAATTTTTGGTAGAGACGGGGTTTTACCAAGTTGGCCAGGATGGTCTCAATCTCTTGACCTCATGATCCGCCTGCCTTGGCCTCCCAAAGTGCTGGGATTACAGGCGAGAGCCACCACGCCCGGCCCCCTCCTATGTTGTCCAGGCTGGCCCCAAACTCCTGGGCTCAAGCAATCCTTCTGCCTCTGTCTACCAAAATGCTGGGATTACAGGGATGAGCTATCATGCCCCACTCTGATCTTTTATTAACAGTCTCACAGGCCCTGAGGTTGTGTTTATTATTTGTTTCTTTTCTTTTCTTCTTTTTTTTTTTTTTTTTTTTTTTTTTTTGGTTGAGATGGAGTCTCGCTCTGTCGCCCAGGCTGGAGTACAGTGGCGCGATCTTGGCTCTGCCTCCCGGGTTCACACCATTCTCCCGCCTCAGCCTCCCGAGTAGCTGGGACTACAGGTGCCCACCACCATGCTCGGCTAATTTCGTTTTTGTATTTTTAGCAGAGACGGGGTTTCACCGTGTTAGCCAGGGATGGTCTCGATCTCCTGACCTCATGATCCACCCACCTCAGCCTCCCAAAGTGCTGGGGTTACAGGCATGAGCCACTGTACCGGCCTCTTTTATTTTCTCTTTTCTTTCTTGTTTACTTTTTCCAGTCCATTTTCTCTCTGTTGTTCAGATTGAGTAATTTCTGTTGTCCTGTCTTCCAGTTAACTGCTTGTGTTGTCCTCTTTTCCACTTTTGAGCCCATTCACTGAGCTTTTTATTTCGTTGTTGTATTTTCTATTTCTAAAATTTCTATCTGATTCTTCCTTATATCTCCTATTTCTATGCTGAGACTCTTTTTTATTTTTTCAACATGTTCATAACTGTATTTTTTTTTTTTGAGATGGAGTCTCACTCTGTCGCCCAGGCTGAAGTGCAGTGGCACGATCTCGGTGCACTGCAACCTCTGCCTCCCAGGTTCAAAAGATTCTCCTGCCTCAGGCTCCCGGGTAGCTGGAATTACAGGCATGCACCACCACACCCAGCTAATTTTTGTACTTTTTGTAGAGACAGGGTTTAACCACGTTGCCCAGGCTTGTCTCGAACTCCTGGACTCAAGCAACCAACCTGACTTGGCCTCTCAAAGTGCTGGGATTACAGGCATGAGCCACTTTGCCCGGCCTGAGTTGCATTCCTCTATGAATTTTAGAAAAAGCAATCAATTTCAACAAGAAAATTGCTGGAATTTTTATTGATTACACTGAATCTATAGATTAATTTGAGAGGAACTGACATCTTTAAAATGTTGAGTCTTCTGATTCATGACCATGGTATGGCTCTTCATTGATTTACATCGTCTTTAATTTCTCTCAGCAATGTTTTGTAGTTATTAGTGTATGATTTTGCATGTAGCTTTTGTTATATTTTTTGTCTATGTATTTTATATTTTGGATGCTGTTATAACTGGTTTTTAAGAAGTTTTAATTCCCAATTGTTTATTCCTATTATATAGCAATATAATTGATTTTAATACAGTGATCTTGCATCCTTCAGCCTTGTTAAGCTGTAGTTGCTTTTTGGATGATCCCACAGGATTTTACACACAATCATGTTATTTGAAAATACAGTTTTATTTCTTTCTTTCCAATCTGATTGCCTTTTACTTCTCTTTTTTGACTTGTTCACTGGCTAGAGCTTCTAGCACAATATCATACAGAAGTGATGAGGGTAGACCGGGTGCGGTGGCTCATGCATGTAATCCCAGCACTTTGGGAGGCCGAGGCAGGCGGATCACCTGAGGTCAGGAGTTCGAGACCAGCCTGGCCAACATGGTGAAACCCCATCTCTACTAAAAATACAAAATTTAGCTTGGCGTGATGGTGCACACCTATAATTCCAGCTACTTGGGAGGCTGAGGCAGGAGAATCGCTTGAACCTGAGAGGCAGAGGTTGCAGTGAGCTGAGATCATGCCATTGCACTCCAGCCTAGGTGACAGAACGAGACTCTGCCTCAAAAAAAAAAGCAATGAGGGCAGACTTTTTTTGCCTTAAATTAAGACATTCCTGGCCAGCTGTGGTGGCTCATGTCTGTAATGCCAATACTTTGGGAGGCCAAGGTGGGTGGATCACCTGAGATCAGGAATTTGAGACCAGCCTGGCCAACATGGTGAAACCCCGTTTCTACTAGAAATACAAAAATTAGCTGGGCGTGGCGGCAGGCACCTGTAATCCTAGCTATTCAGGTGGCTGAGGTAGGAGAATCACTTAAACCTGGGAGGCGGAGGTTGCAGTGAGCCAAGATTGTGCCCTTACACTACAGCCTGGGTGACAAGAGTGAAAGTCTGTCTCAAAATAAATAAATAAATAAATAAATAAATAAATAAAGACATTTCTGAACTTAGGAACAAAGCATTTAGTATTTTACCATTGAGTATGTTGCTAGCTGTAGGTTTTTCGTAGATACCCCTCATCGGATTGAAAATGTTTCCATGAATTCCTCGTTTGCTGGGAATTTTCTTTTCTTTGAGGTTCAGATGTTGATTTTGTGAAATATATTTTATGCATCTATTGATATAATCATGGAATTTTTCTTTTTCTGTCTGTTAATATGGTTAATTTCATTTATTGGTTTTTGAATGTTGAACCAACCTTGCATTCCTGGGAGTAAATGCTATAGATAATGTTGTATATATTTACATATTATTTTCAATGTGATAAGATTTTGTTAATATTTGCATCTGTGTTTATGAGGATGTTAATCTGTATCATCTTTACCTGTTTTTTTTTTGTTGTTTGTTTGTTTTTGAGATGGAGTCTTGGTCTGTTGCCCAGGCTAGAGTGCAGTGGCGTGATCTTGGCTCACTGCAACCTCTGCCTCCTGGGTTCAAGTGATTTCCCTGCCTGAGCCTCCCGAGTAGCTGGCAGTACAGGTGCTTGCCACCATGCCCAGCTAAATTTTGTATTTTTAGTAGAGATGGGGTTTCATCGTGTTGGTCAGGCTGGACTCGAACTCCTGAACTCAAGTGATCCGCCTGCCTCAGCCTCCCAAAGTGCTGGGATTACAGGTGTGAGCCACTGTGCCTGGCCCATTAAGGTGCATATGTATTTAGGATTGTGATATTTTCCTGTTGGACTGATTTTTTTTTTTTTTTTGAGACAGAGTCTCGCTCTGTCTGCCCAGCCTGGAGTGCAGTGGCGTGATCTCAGCTCTCATCTCACTGCAAGCTCCGCCTCCTGGATTGATGCCATTCTCCTGCCTCAGCCTCCCGAGTAGCTGGGACTACAGGTGCCCACCACCACACCCGGCTAATTTTTTTGTATTTTTAGTAGAGACGGGGTTTCACCATGTTAGCCAGGATGGTCTTGATCTCCTGACCTCGTAATCCGCCCGTCTCAGCCTCCCAAAGTGCTGGGATTCCAGGTGTGAGCCACTGCGCCCGGCTGGACTGATCTTTTATCGTTATGTAATGTCCCTTTTTGTCTTTTTTTTTTTTTTTTTTTTTTTTGAGACAGAGTCTCACTCTGTTGCCCAGGCTGGAGTGCAGTGGCGCAATCTCGGTTCACTGCAAGCTCCACCTCCCGGCTTCACACCATTCTCCTGCCTCAGCCTCCAGAGTAGCTGGGACTACAGGCACCCACCACCATGCCCAGCTCATTTTTTTGTATTTTTTTAGTAGAGACGGGGTTTCACCATGTTAGCCAGGATGGTCTCGATCTCCTGACCTCATGATCCACCCGCCTTGGCCTCCCGAAGTGCTGGGTTTACAGGTGTGAGCTACCACGCCTGGCCCCTTTTTGTCTTTTTTTTAACCGTTGTTGCTTTAAAGTCTGTTTGTGTGATATAGGAATAGCTACTCGGCAAGGCATGATGGCTCATGCCTGTAATCCCAGCACTTTGGGAGGCTGAGACAGGTGGATCACGAGGTCAGGAGATTGAGATCATCTTTGCCACCATTGTGAAACCCCATCTCTACTAAAAATACAAAAATTAGCTTGGTGTGGTGGCATGCCCCTGTAGTCCCAGCTACTCGGGAGGCTGAGGCAGGAGAATTGCTTGAACTCAGGAGGCAGAGGTTGCAGTGAGCCAAGTTAGCGCCACTGCATTCCAGCCTGGTGACAGAGCAAGACTTAGTCTCAGAAAAAAAAACAAAAACAAAAAAACATAGCTACTCTTGGCCAGCTCACATCTATTATCCTAGCACTTTGGGAGGCCAAGGCAGGCAGATCATGAGGTCAGGAGATTGAGACCATCCTGGCTAACATGGTGAAACCCTGTCTCTACTAAAAATACAAAAAATTTAGCTGGGCATGGTGGCGCATGCCTGTAGTCCCAACTACTTGGGAGGCTGAGGCAGGAGAATTGTTTGAACCCAGGAGGCAGAGGTTGCAGTGAGCCGAGATCGTGCCACTGCACTCCAGCCTGGGCAACAGAGCGAGACTCCATCTCAAAGAAAAAAAAAAAAGAATAGCTACTCGTACTTGCTTTTGGTTTCCATTTGCGTGCAGTATCTTTTTCTACCCCTTTACCTTAAGTTTATGTGAGTCCCTATGCATTAGATGAGTCTCTTGAAGACAGCAGATGGTTGGTTGGTGAATTTTATCCATTCTGTGTCTTTTAAGTGGAGCATTCAGGCCATTTACATTCAATGTTGGTATTGAATTATGAGATAGTGTTTTATTCATAGTGATAGTTGTGCTTTTTTAAATTGTGTTATTGTTTTATAAGCCTTTTAAAACATATACTTAAAGGAGGTTCTATTTTTGTTTCAAGATTTAGAACTCCTTTTGACATTTCTTGTAGTGCTGGCTTGCTAGTGGCAAATTCTCTCAGCATTTGTTTGTCTGAAAAAGACTTTATCTCTCCTCATTTATGAAGCATAGTTTTGCTGGATACAAAATTCTTGGCTGGCAATTATTTTGTTTGAGGAGGCTAAAGATAGGACCCCAATCCCTTCTGGCTTATAGGGTTTCTGCTGAGAAATCTGCTGTTAATCTGATAGGATTTCCATTGTAGGTTCCCTGATGCTTTTGCCTCATGGCTCTTAAGATGTTTCCCTTCATCTTGACTTTAGATAACCTGATGACTGTGTGCCTAGGTAATTATCTTTTTGCAATGAATTTTTCAGGTGTTCTTTCAGCTTCTTGTATTTAGATGTTTAGATCTCTGGTGAGAGCAAGGAACTTTTCCTTGATTATTCCCTCCAATAAGCTTTCTAAATGTTTAGATTTCTCTTCTTCCTGAGGAACACCAATTATTCTTAGGTCTGGCTGTTTAACGTAATCCCAAATTTCTTGGAAGCTTTGTTCATTTTTAAAAATTCATATTCGCCGGGCGCAGTGGCTCACGCCTGTAATCCCAGCACTTTGGGAGGCCGAGGCAGGCAGATCACAAGGTCAGGAGATCGAGACCATCCTGGCTAACACGGTGAAACCCCATCTCTACTAAAAATACAAAAAATAAGCCAGGTGTGGTGGCGGTCGCCTGTAGTCCCAGCTACTCAGGAGGCTGAGGTAGGAGAATGCTATGAACCCAGGAGACAGAGCTTGCAGTGAGCCGAGATCACGCCACTGCACTCCATCCAGCCTGGGCAACAGAGCGAGACTGTCTCAAAAAAAAAAAATTCTTTTTTATTTGTCTTTGTCTGGTTGAGTTACTTCAAATGCTTTGTCTTCAAGCTCTGAAGTTCTTTCTTCTACTTGTTGGAGATAAATGTTCAGTGCCACAAAGCGAAACCAGCACTCAGGCAAAAATTTTCTCAGCAAGGCAATTTACTTCTGCAGAAGGGTGCTGCTTGTGTCAATCACGATTGCAAGAGCACACTGAACAAAGGAAAGCAGGGGTTTTTATTCCTAATGCAGTCCCTGCCTCTTTGTCATTCCTCCATGGGCTGTGGTTGGACCGCACAATCTAAACTGACCCAATTGGCTATTTGTGAATACTTTCCCAAATAAGGAAGGGAAGGGAAATGTGAGTTACAATGGTGGGATGTGCGGTTTCAAAGGGAGGAACGGGTGAAGAGTGGGTAACCAAGGGAACAGATGTGAGTTATTGATTAGGACTGACAGGAAAGTTGTTTACAGTTACAGTAACTAGGGGCAAGGAGGCATAGAGAACAAGAAAGTTGAGTTTGAGAACAAAGAACAAGGAAGTTAACAGGCTAAACCTTTGAAGAATTTTATTGTATCCTACAATTTCCCCCTTTTAATTTTTATAGTTCTTCCTCTTCAAACCTTTTTAAGATGTCTTGGCTTTGCTGTTTGACTTGATCGTCTGAAAGGAAACGCTTATCTGAATAAGGTGGAGGAGAGCTAAGGGAGATTTTAGTAAGTGCTGTTTCTATAAGCCTTTGTACTAGCCCATGGTTGCATGGTGTGACACAACACCCAACAAGAATGAGTACACCTATTATGACTGCAAGAGAAGTAAGAATTGAGGCTATGATTCCTTTCTATTTACCAAACCACCTGTCTAGCCATCCTGAAGAAGGGTTATTGACTCCAGAATTTTTAGCTAATTCATTAGATAAAATGGTAAGTCCTTGTAAGGCTTTTGTTATGCTCCCATCTGGGGCAGTATGGTTTGGGATGAAGGTACGACACTGAGTTTTAATCATAACACAAACTCTACCTTTTTCAGCTAGTATCATGCCTAGGGCCATTCTGTTTTCCTAAGCCATCTGGCTAGTCAGCCCTAACTCCTCAGCTATTCCTTTGACAGCATCCCTGGTATAATTAATAAACTGCTGTTGGTTATAATAGATGTAATTTATACAGTCTACATTTTTATTAATAGTTACCCATGGAAATATTGATTCAAATCCTGCAGACTATTTGGTCCCGGGCTTTTAATTTATCAGGTACTCCCCATGGGACTCCAGTTGCATCTAAATAAACTTGAGAGTCAAAAAACCTATAAGGGGCTTCTCTTATTTTATGGTGTTGTGGCTTTTCTTTTTCTGGCTGATGAAACGCCAGGGTGAAAGGGATAGCCAAATGGACAAGAGTGCAGGTACCACTCCAGTTACTTGGCAGAGTGTCCAGTAAGGGTCCGCCACAATACCACCATACATCTTCTTGAGGATGACTAAGGGCAGACTGATGGGTAAGCTCTTGGAAAGGCTTAAGCTCACTGCATCCTGTTAAGCTTCCAAGGAACACCAAGTTTTCCCCTTGTCGTGAGAGACAGGACGTGAAATTGACATTGGGAGCCAGAAGCTGGATGGCCCTCTGGGGCTGACCCGCAGGATATTGAACTTTGGGATAGAGCAAAGAGAGAGCTTGGCATGATTGATTGCCCCAAGCTATGGAATCCTGGAAGAGAGCTACCATGCTGCCCATGCCTGGTTGACTGGGGGACCAGCCGAGTGTAAAGGGGTCTATCTGGGTCTCTGGCTGGCCGTGAGCACAAGCATAACAATTGCTTTTGTTTCATGTGCGGACAGAATATTTGGTCCATTCCAACCAGGCATTTGCATCTTGATATTTTGTTTCAATTGCTAAAGTTTGCCTTAGATCATTTACTTCTACAATATCTACTTTAGTCTTATCATTGGGTATAGAAGGTATGGCAGTCTGATTAGAAGAAGGCTTAGAAGGAGAAGAGAGGGAAGAGGGTGAAGAGGATGAGGGATTAATAAAACGCATTTCAAAAGACCCTATGAGGTCTGTGCCGCGTTGGTCCCTATGCCATAGAAGCGACTCAAAGTAGGTCTAGAGGGTCGGTAGAGGCCGGAGTGAGAGTAGAAATCTGCACTGGATTACACTGGTTATACTGAAAATCGAGGGGAGGGGTGCTTCCTTTAGTAAAGTGAATGTATGATTTTAAGTATATACAGCCACATGTTGATGAGGTCCAGCCTTGATACTCAGTTGTCCACAGAACATCATTCCAGCTATGGCAGACCTGTTTCCCTATATTTTATGAGGAGCAAGAGTCTTGGTAGCGGGAGCCTTTTATTTTAAAGTGGCAGAGATACTTTTCTAAGGCTGAGAGTTGCCTTTGACTTTGGAGATCTCTACAGGGTATGACTAAACAGGCATCAAACATAATAACTTGGGGTGAGTTTGATTTAGTCACATTGATAACAAGGTGGTCAGCAACAGAATGAGGAAAGAAGAAAGAGTAATAGAGTAGACGAAAGAGAGTTAAACTTTTCTTAGCTTTAGTTTGAGGGGGTTTTCCCCTGGGATAATGGCCCATGACTCTGGAGGTGACAGTGCTTTCTTGACTCAGGTGTGATGGGTCTATCCTTTTTCTGCTGTCCGGACTGCAGTTTCAGTGGTTAGAAGCACCAGGTAAGGTCCTTCCCAGGCTGGCTCAAGTTTCTCCTCTTTTCAGCTCTTGATAAGGACGTGATCCCCAGGCTGATGTTGATGTACTGGGAACTCCAGAGGCAGAGCCTGTGCTAGGAGACCTTTGGTTTTAAGAAAAGAGAAAGTAGGGGAGAGACTAAGAATATAATTCCTGAGGAACTGGTGTTTTTGGAACATCAGCAGTGGAGTGTAAATAAGGCAATCCATAGAGCATCTTGTAAGGGGAAAGGCCAGTATCTTTTCGAGGAGCAGTTTGGATTCTTTTTTTTTTATTTGGTTTTGTCAAATGTTTTATTGAGTGTAGACATCTGGAGTACTATAAAACATGCATTATCTGTAGATTCAAAAAGGAGCAAGCCACATTGTTCTCACTGTCAAATGTGTTAGGCTTGGCATACATGATGGAGATTAATGAAGTATCATGAGAGTAACATGGTTCTTGAAAAGCTTCTATAATTTGGAGTAGGGTCTTAATCACATGAAAAGCAAAGGTGTTCACATTTAGTGAACTTGCATTTCATTGGGGGGAGAGGGTACACAGTATTTTAATTTTAAAACAAAAATAATTTGTTTGTCAAAGATTCCCATCTCCCCAACTTTATTTGTCCCATTGGTTTTCAGAAATTTTAATTTTTAAAAAATCAGATGCCTTTTGGAAGTTGTATGTTTATCTGAGCAGTAACTAAATTTTATTTCTTCTTCAGTTGTTAAGGTGTGTTAAATTTGAAGAAGATAATATCTCCATCTTCAACAATATAATTTCTGCCTTGTTGTCTGTACTTTCCAGCAGCCTTGACTGCATTTTCAGAACCTTCCTCTTTAAAATCTTCATATTTCATTACTTCAGCCATAATGAATCCCTTTTCAAAATCTGTGTGAATCTTTCCTGCAGCCTGAGGAGCCTTAGTCCCTTTCCTGATGGTCCGTGCACGCACTTCATCTGGGCCTGCAGTGAAAAAGTATTTTAGTTGGAGTGCTGCAAACCCAGCCTTAATGATCTTTGGCAAAGCACTTTGTGTCATGTTCGCTTCCAGATACTGCTGTCTCTCCTCAGCACTCAATTCTTGCAACTTGAGTTCCAAGGCCCCACTAAAAGGAATGACCAAGGCACCTGGGTCATACTTGTCCACCCACTCTTTAATTTTTATCAGCCATTTGTTTTTCTTTCTAATGTAGTCTTTTTCAGAAAGATTAACCAAGTAGACCATTGGTTTTGAAGTCAAAAATAAGTGTTTATTCAACACTTCAATCTCTTTGTCATTCCAATCATGATAGAAGCGAACAGGTTCTTTTGATCTATAACCCAGGATTTTACTTTGCACATTATATCATATTTGGGTTTTAGTTTTTTATCTCCTCCTCTCACAGCCACCTTTTCTAGTTTATCTATAATGGGCCCAGTCATTCCTCATCTTTAAGCTGAAGCTCTTCATGTATTATTTCTATATCTCGAATAGGATCTACACTTTCTTCAACATGTGTGATATCATCATCTTCAAAAGCACGTGTTAGATGAAAGATGCCATCACAAGCACTAAAATGAGATAAAAAAGCATTCCCCAGGCCCTGCCCATTGTGAGCTCCTTTCACAAGGCCAGCAATATCCACTACATTTAGAAAGGCAGGAATTTTGCTTGCTGGTTTGTGATATTGGCAAAGAAAGTCAAACCTTTCATCTGGCACAGGTACTCTGCTCTCATTAGGATCAATAGTGCAGAATGGGAAGTTTTCTGCTGAAGCCTGACTATTGGTTAATACATTGAAGAAAGTAGATTTCCCAACATTTGGCAATCCAACAATACCAATTTTCAGTGAGGTTCCAAATCTTCCAATGATTGGGGGTGGTTTAATTCCATCACCTCCCTTTTGAGGGGGCATCGTGCTCAGCCTGGGCTATGACACGGGGTCCCAGTAGCAGCGAGAGAAAGGTCCTGCCGGCAGCCAGAGGCGGGGAGGAAGGAGGAGAGAACGCAGGCCCGGCCCCTCCGCCGAGCGGCATGCCGCACTACGGCGGCGACAGCGGTGGAACCGCCGTTTGGATTCTTAACAGGGCAATAGGAAGATATTTGATCCCTGGCAACCGAATCTATAGAACTAACTTGGTTAAATGGTTCTTTAAGGTCTGATTCATCCTTTCTACTCTCCCTGATGAAGGTGGGTGCCAAGGAGTATGATATTTCCATCTAATGTCTAGCGCTTAGGATAGCTTTTTAATGATATGTGCTATGAAATAGGTTTCACTGTCTGAGTCAATATTTTCTATTAGCCCAAACCTGGGCACTATATTTTCAATTAATGCTTTAACTACATGATTGGCCATTGCATTTGAAAAGGGAATAGCTTCGACCCAGTGAGTGAGGTGATCTGCTATTACTAAGTACTTTAGGCAACCGATTGGGGGCATTTCAATGTAATCAGTTTGAACACTTTGGAATGGTCTTAGCCCTGAATCCCTCCCCGCCCAGGGATGATTTCTTTATAACTTGTTTGTTGGTTTCCTTACATGTTAAGCAACTATCCATAACCTGTTTGGCTAGGGTATATACCCATAAACCCTGAGAACTGTGTCACACATGGCTTGGGGTCCCCAGTGTGTCCCTTGATGCAGGTGGGTAGGATTTCTCTCATGAGCGGTTTGAATAGCATTTCTCTTTGATCTGGTAACACCCATTTTCCTTCTGAGTTTTCTTTGGCTCCATTTTTATTAATTTTTCCTTTTCTGCAGCAGACAAGGTAGGGGTTGCAGCAGGGGGAGGAAGACGAGGGGTTAAGTGAAAGGTGTTTCAGATGAAATGGCAGCCTGTTTAGCCACTTGATCTGCAAGGTTATTTCCCTGACTTGTAAAGGAAAAGTCGTTTTGGTGTCCGGGGACATGTACAATGGCTATTTCTTCTGGCAACTGGAGATTGTTTAAAACATGGACGATTAGCTCCTCGTGGGTAAGATATTTTGGCCTTTAGTTTTTTTTTGTTTTTTGGTGTTTTTTTGAGACGGAGTCTTGCTCTGTCACCCAGGCTGGAGTGCAGTGGCACGATCTCAGCTCATTGCAAGTTCCACCTCCCGGGTTCACGCCATTCTCCTGCCTCAGCCTCCTGAGTAGCTGGGACTACAGGATCCCGCTACCACACCTGGCTAATTTTTTTGTATTTTTAGTAGAGACGGGGTTTCACCATGTTAGCCAGGATGGTCTTGATCTCCTGACCTCGTGATCCGCCCACCTCAGCCTCCCAAAGTGCTGGGATTACAGGCATGAGCCACCGCGCCTGGCCTGGCCTTTAGTATTAATAAGACCTTGCTCAGCCCAAATTTTTCCAAATATATGAGCTACTCCAAAAATGTATTTAGAATCAGTATGAATAGTTCCTTCCTTGCTCTGTAAGTGTTTTAAAACCTGGCTGAGTGCAAATAGTTCACATGCTTTGGCAGACCAACTATTGGGCAACCTTCCTGACTCTGTTTCTTCAAGAGTTTCTCCATCAATTACTGAATACCCATTGTATTTTTCTCCTTTAATTGCTTGGGATCAACCATCTATAAATAAGTGTCACCCCATTTTGAAAGGGGTCTCTCTTAGATCCGGCCTGACCTTTGTTTGGTAGTCAGTTAGATCTAGACATAAGTGTTCTCTTTTTAGATTTGGGTCCCCTGTTAAGAAACCTCTCGGATTGAGTGAGTTATCAGTAGTCAAGGTTAAATCATCTTTTTAGTAAAATAGCCTCCTATTTTAAGATTCTGGAGTCAGTGAGCCACCTTCCTGCTTTTTTATTTAAAATAGCTCTAACTTGGTGGGGTGTGCTTACAGTCAATTTCCCCCCAAAGATTAATTTTCTACTTTCTTCAACTAATACTGCTGTAGCTGCAACGAATTGGATGCACTGAGGCTACCCACAGGTGACTGGGTCTAAAATTTTTGATAGGAAGGCTACGGGCTGCCGGTGACCACCATGTTCTTGAGTAAGAACCCCTAAAGCTACCCCGTTATTTACATTAACAAAAAGATGAAATGGCTTTTCTAGGGAAGCTAAGGCTAAGACAGGGGCAGTTATGAGTTTGTATTTCAGCTCTTCAACCTGATTGACTTCCTCAGAAGTCCACAGGAGACGGTCCAGTTTCCACTGGGTAAGCTTTTCATATAAAAGTTTACTTTTTAGGGCATATGAGTCAATCCATAAGCATCAATATCCAACTAATCCTAGAAATTTTCTGAGTTATTGCTTAGTTTGAGGCAAGGGTAAGGACACGATGCCTTCAACTCGTTCAGGTCCTATCCTTTGCTTACCTGCACTTATTAAGTGGCCTAAATATTTAACTTCAGGCTCCACATACTGAAGCTTTCCCTTTAAGAACCATAACCCCTCGAACTCCAGATGGTTAAGGATATGTGTAGAGAAGCCAGCTACTTTCTCTACATCTTCAACAGATACGAGAATATCATCCATGTACTGGAGCAGGCATATTTGCTTTGGGATGACAACTTTTTCTAACACTTGTTCTAAAATTTGACCAAAAAGGTTTGGAGAGTCTGTAAACCCTTGAGGTAAAACTGTCCATCAATAATGTTGTTTTCGCCCTGAATGGGGATCCTACCACTCAAAAGCAAATATGTCTCAGCTGTCTTCAGCCAAGGGGCATGCCCAGAAGGCATCTTTTAAATCTATTACTGTAAACAACTGATGGTTTTTTGGAATTTTGCTGAGAATGGTGTATGGGTTGGGGACAACAGGATGGTTAGTTTGGACTATTTGATGGCTCTAAGATCTTGTACCAAGTCGGTATGACGCATCTAATTTCTTGACTGGCAATATTGGAGTGTTATACGGGGACATACAGGGTTCAAGGAGCCCATCTTTAATAAGACTTTCAATTATAGGCTTTAATCCTATCCTGCCCTCTAGGGGTTTGGGGTATTGTTTCCTCCTTACTACTTCCCTGGGGATTCTTAACTTGATGTGGATTGGAGGGATTCAGAGTTTCTCCCGGTTTCCTTCCCTTGACCAGACACTAGGATTAATGCATTTTTCATCTGTGGTGGTGAGTAGGTTTAATGAGGTAAAGAATCCTTTAGGACCAACTTGTAAGCCTGTGCCTAATTCTAGCATTAAGTCTCTTCCTAATAGATTAGTTTCTGCCTCAGGGATCAACAAAAATTGGATATGAGTCAGCCGATCTTGGTATTTAACTTCTGTACTTTCTAAGATTTTTGCTTTAAATCCTTCTCCTTTTACCCCAGAGACTAAAAGTTCTTCTGAAGAGCAGGCAATGTTGGATGGGGGGAAGCAAATGGAGGAGCGAGCCACTCCTGAATTGACTAAAAGGTGATAAGCTCATGTTTGGTTCCCACCTGTAAATTTATCAAGGGCTCCTGGTGGGACTCGAGATAAACAGAGCCCCTGACCCCCCTGTTCTTCCTCAAAAGTCATGAGTTGAAGGGCTTCTTTCTCCTTTTCCAGTTTGGGACATTCTCTTTTGAAGTGGCCTGCCCTTCAAACGGTCTGGACGGACCGTTTATAGTTTCTGGCCCCCTGGAAGCTTTGTTTAGAAGCATAAACGAGGGTCTGGACCTTTTATAGTTTCTGGCCCCCTGGAAGCTTTGTTTAGAAGCATAAACGAGGGTCTGGACCTTTTATAGTTTCTGGCCCCCTGGAAGCTTTGTTTAGAAGCATAAACGAGGGTCTGGACCTTTTATAGTTTCTGGCCCCCTGGAAGCTTTGTTTAGAAGCATAAATGAGGGTCTGGACCTTTTATAGTTTCTGGCCCCCTGGAAGCTTTGTTTAGAAGCATAAACGAGGGTCTGGACCTTTTATAGTTTCTGGCCCCCTGGAAGCTTTGTTTAGAAGCATAAATGAGGGTCTGGACCGTCTATCGTTTCTGGCCCCCTGGAAGCTTTGTTTAGAAGCATGTGGGTGTGGGGCCACCTGCTGGAAAGTGGATAACGTGAGTTTTTGCCTTTTGTTTTTGCTTCTTTCCTCACATATATTTTTTGAGCTTCTCCCAGAAGTTCACTTAGAGGTTGGTTTTCCCAGTCTTCTAATTTTTGTAACTTTTTTGAAATATCTGGCCAACTTGTAGTGACAAAATGGAGCTTTAACACTCCCTGTCCAAGGAGATCTTCCAAATTTAGGCCTGCATATTGTCTTGTTTGGTCCTTTATTCTTGTCTAGAAATTTCATAGGCCCCCTCATCTTTTTCCTATTGTATATCAAATGCTTTAGAGAGGTTTTGGGTTCAGGGTACTGATTCCCTAATTCCCTTTATTATCATTTCCCTTAGGTCTTGCATATTTTCCCAGTGAGCTGCATTAATATCGTCCCACCGGGGGTCTTGGGTGGGAAACTTTTGATCTGCGGTAGGAATGTTTGACCAGGAGGGTGTTCGTGTTCCCAAATTGCCATAGCAGCCCTACAGATCATGCTTCTTTCCTCCCCTGAAAAGAGGACGCAGGCCGGGCGCGGTGGCTCACGCCTGTAATCCCAGCACTTTGGGAGGCCGAGGCGGGTGGATCATGAGGTCAGGAGATCGAGACCATCCTGGCTAACAAGGTGAAACCCCGTCTCTACTAAAAATACAAAAAAAATTAGCCGGGCGCAGTGGCGGGCGCCTGTAGTCCCAGCTACTCGGGAGGCTGAGGCAGGAGAATGGCGTGAACCCGGGAAGCGGAGCTTGCAGTGAGCCGAGATTGCGCCACTGCAGTCCGCAGTCCCGCCTGGGCGACAGAGCGAGACTCCGTCTCAAAAAAAAAAAAAAAAAAAAAGAAAAGAGGACGCCTAGGATGGACATTAACTCCACCCAAGTGTATAACTGAGGTCCTAAGAATTGATCAACCTGATCTGTTACCCAATAAGGTCATCCAATAACGGCTTAAGTTCCTTCTTCAAACTTCAGACCTCTGAACTGGTTAAGGGAGCATTCACAAAATTAATAGCCCCCCTGTCCTTGTGGCACCTCTTTTAAGGGGAAGAGAGTTGGGGCTGACTCCATAGATGTGGAGGGAAATGGGAAATTTTGGATATCTTTTTTACATTGTTCTACCTCACGTTGGAGTCCTTTTAGGGAGGGGTACTTAGGCTGAGAAGGAACAGGCTAATGGGATGGTGATTCCCAAGAATCAGGATTGTAAGGAGGAGGAATAACATGAGCAGGAGAAGGATCTGGAGCAGGAACGGGGACAGCAGCTGCTACCTGAGGGGAAGGGTTAGGGGCACTGAGCGTGGGGGAAGATGGTTTAGAGGATCCCATGTGCTGGAGTCTTTAGGCATGGGGACTGGCTTTTCTCACTCTTCAGTTTGAGGTGCTAGATTGGGTTTTTCCCTAGTTGTCTTTAAGGGAAAGAGGAGGACAGGTCCCTGCCTCCAACAAAGAGCATAGGCCAATTCTTCTTGAGAAACTGGACTTTTATCATTTACATATTGAATTAGAAGTTGACACATCACATCCTTGTTCAACCCAAACTTTGACCAAAAGATTGAGGGTTTGAGGATGGGTCCCTGAGTCCAAATAAAACAGCAATTGTTTGTCATTTGTTGCTTTTTCTTATGTTTAGTTCTCTCATTATCTTTCCAATATTTTAACATGAGACCTAGGGGACTAACAGCAGGAATATCTTTATTGCTGTCTTTATCCTTTTTACTCCGTGTCCTGCTTGGGGTGTTTCCCATGTTGGGTCCTAGTTAGGCTCAGTCCCTCATATTAGAGATTTCTTGCCTATCCTTTTCTGGAGGCTTGCTGAGGCTCAATCCCTCGTATTAGAGATTTCTTGCCTCTCCTTTTCTGGAGGCTTATTGAGGCTCAATTCCTCATACTAGAGATTTCTATCCTTTAGCCCCACCTGCTGGAGGCTCCTTGCACCCTTCTTTTGCTTCGTCCACTCTGGTCGCTTCCCGGAGGGGAATTTAGGTCCCTCTTACCTTTGGCACGCCCATATAAACCCCATGGCAGGATCTGTCCTAAGCCATATGAGGTGACCATGGAACCTCAGATAGGACACACTCATTCCGCACAGCAGTAGTGCTTAGTACCATTCACACAAGCAGCACCGCAAGCAGTAATGCTTGTGATCATTCATACACACTTTCAATCTCCAGAATATCTTGACCACCAAGGAAATGCTTTGTCACCCCTGTGACGTTTCTTACCTTGGTCTGTGCACAAAGTTACCTGGTCACCATGGTGTTGCAAGCCTTTTTTTCCCCACATTGCTGAGAGTCCGGATTTATTCGTCACACCGGGTGGGTTCCGATCCCTCACCCTGAGGCCACCGCAACGAGGCAGTGGGATGCGTCTCCTTATGAGAGGTGACCAGAGACCCCTTCCCTGGAGGAGAATGGGAATCCTGGATGAGCCCCAGATTTGTTGGAGATAAATGCTCAGTGCTGCAAAGTGAAACCAGCACTGAGGCGAAAGTTTTCTCAGCAAGGCAGTTTACTTCTGCAGAAGGGTGCTGCTTGTGTCAATCACGATTGCAAGAGCACACTGAACAAAGGAAAGCAGGGGTTTTTATTCCTAATGCAATCCCTCCCTCTGTGTCACTCCTTCATGGGCTGTGGTTGGACTGCACAATCTAAACTGACCCGACTGGCTATTTGTGAATACTTTCCCAAATAAGGAAGGGAAGGGAAATGTGAGTTACAGTGGTGGGACGTGCGGTTTCGAAGGGAGGAAGGGGTGAAGAGTGGGTAACCAAGGGAACAGATGTGAGTTATTGATTAGAACTGACAGGAAGGTTGTTTACAGTTACAGTAACTAGGGGCAAGGAGGCATAGAGAACAAGAAAGTTGAGTTTGAGAACAAAGAACAAGGAAGTTAACAGGCTAAACCTTTGAAGAGGAATTTTATTGTATCCTACATACTTGTTCTAGTCTGTTGTTGACACTTTCCAGTGCATTTTTTATTTCTTTAAGTGTGTCTTCCATTTGCAGAAATTGTGATTTTTTTTTCTTTATAATATCTGTTTCTCTGGAGAATTTTTCATCCATAGCCTGTATTTTTTTTGTTGTCTTTTTCTTTCTTTCTTTCTTTCCTTTTTGAGACTCTGAGCACTCTGTTGCTCACAGTGCAGTGGTGCAATCTCAGCTCACTGCAACCTCTGGCTCCTGGGTTCACGCAATCCCCCTGCCTCAGTCTCCCAAATAGCTGGTATTACAGGCACGCACCACCATGCCTGGCTGATTTTTGTATTTTTAGTAGAGATGGGGTTTCACTGTGTTGGCCAGGCTGGTCTGAAACTCCTGACCTCAAGTGATCAGCCCGCCTCAGCCTTCCAAAGTGCTGGGTTTACAGGTGTGAGCCACTGCGCCTGGCCAATCCATAGCCTGTATTGTTTTTTACATTTCTTTGTTTTCACTTTTCTCTGGTCTCTCCTTGAGTAGTTTAATAATCAACCATCTGAATTGTTTATCTGGCAATTCAGAGATTTCTTCTTGATTTGCATTCATTGCTGGGGAGCCAGTATGGTCTTTTGGAGGTGTTATAGAACCTTGTTTTGTCATATTACAATTTTTCTGATTTCTTCTCACTTGGGTAGACTATTTCAGGGGAAAAATCTGGAACTCAGGGGCTACTGTTCAGATTCTTTTGTCCCACAAAGTGACCCCTTGATGTGATGCATTCTCACTTCCCCTAGGGATGGAGCTTCGTGAGAGCCAGACTGTAGTGATTGCTATTGCTCTTCTGGGTCCAGCCACCCAGTGGGGCTACCAGGTTCCAGGCTGGTGCTGAGGAATGTCTGCAAAGAGTCCTGTGATGTGATCCGTCTTTAGCTCTCCTGGCCATGGACACCAGCACCTGCCCTGGTGGAGGTGGGAGGGGAGTAAAGTAGACTGTGAGTGTGAGAGTCCTTGCTTGTAGTTTTGTTTACTGTGCTGGCTTTCTCAAATGCTGGTTATGCTAGCAGTGAAGTTGTCACGTGGACAGACTCAGGAGCTCTGGTTAGCCAGGATGTTGAAAGCAGTGGAATTAGCTGTTTCTCATTTCTTGGAGCAGGGTTATTCTGTTGTGAGTTGCTGTAATGTCCTGACTTGGTTGGCCTCCAGCCAGGAGGTGGCGCTTTCAAGAGAACACCAGCTGCAATACTGGAAGGGGGATATAAGCTTGCCCTAAGTTGGCCAGGATAAGTATTAGGATTTCTCAGGTGATGGACAGGGCCATAAAGCTCCCAAGAGTTTATGGCTTTTGTGATCAGCTACCAGGGCGGGTAGAGAAATACTGTCAGGTTGGGGCAGGGTTAGGTGAGTCTGAGCTCAGACTCTTTCTGGGAATCTGTTACTGATTTGTAATTTTTAATTCCACAGTGTTTGAAGGACATACTTGAAATAAATTTAAAATCCATTGAGATTTGTTTCGTGGTCCAGAATATGGCCTATCTTGGTGAATGTTTCATGTGTATGTGAAACTGAGGCATCCATCCCTCAGTTTCAACCACCCATAGATTTGTAATTATTGTTACATTTACAGAAATTTGCAGGAAGGTAGAAGTTATTGTCTTGAACCATAAAATGTCTGTTTGAAGTCTTTGAGCTCCTCAAGGGTAGGCTGTATGTCCTGTTTACCTTTGATCCTCTCAGCATAATGCTTGGACCAAAATGGAAGCTCAGCAGACACTGGTTGAATGAATGAATAGATGACATTCAATTGTTAGGCTGTGTTCTTGTTTTGGATTTAGAAAATATGCTTATTGTGTTATGCAGTAAGACTGAGTCTTGGCTGGGTGCAGTGGCTTACGCCTGTAATCTCAATACTTTGGGAGGCCGAGGCGGGTGGATCACTTGACGCCAGGAGTTTGAGACCAGCCTGGCCAACATGACAAGACCCTGTCTTTACTAAAAATACAAAAAAATTAGCTGGGCATGGTGATGCACACCTGTAATCCCAGCCACTCGGTAGCCTGAGGCATGAGAATCTCTTGAACCTGAGAGGTGGAGGTTGCAGTGAGCCATGATCATGCCACTGCACTCCAGCCTGGGCAACAGATCAAGACTCAGTCTTAAAGACAAAAAAAAAATACTGAGTCTTACACACTTTTGCATCTTTGTGTCTCTATGGGTCTTCACACAGAGCTTGGCACATTGTAGCTGCTCAGTCAGCACTGTTTGTGCTGAATTGAAACAATGAGATATGTACAAAGGGGCTGTCTCTCACTACTGGGGATTTAAAGCCACCCCGAGGCATTTGACAAGCTGTTCTGGCCAAGGTTGAAGAGGTTGTCCTGTCATAAAGCCCCCCTAAGACACGATGTCACACATAGACACCACTCTCTGTGCGAAAGGGGGGGCCTGTGCACTGAACTCCCAGACTTAGCTGGGCCTCAGTGCTCTTCTTGGGTTTGGTCATAGAGCCCAAGAGGAGGTGGATAAGCTGCCTGACACTGATATGGTAAAAGGATTATCTGCAAATTTCTAGCGTCATCAAGACTGGCCTCTTTGGTAAGCAGGCCTAAAAGGCTGCCCTCAATAAACCACCCAAGCAGGTGAAAATTATCTTTTTACCCCAAGCCTACCTTTTCTACATCCTTTTCTACTTGACATGCCCCTTCTACTCCTCTTCTCTCCTTTAGGACTCATTCTCTCTCCTTTCCTCCTCTAAACCTCCTCCCAGAAAAAGACCTGATAACTTCACTTACACCGGGTTATAGATGACTAACAAAGCTTACTATTGAATATGTTGCTAGTAGAAATCTGAATAAGATACAGCAACTTTTCAACTCTGATCATGGCTTTAAGCACTAGGATGAACCACAGCCATGTAATCATTCATTTGGTTACTTAGCTCTTGCTGTGTCCCACGCATAGGGGCAGCTACTGGGGGTTTGACAGTGGACGGACCTAAAGTGGTCCCTCAGTCAGGGGACAGTACAGTACCCTAAGAGCACTGAGGAGGGCCACCCCACGTGAACTCAGGTAGTCAGGGGAGCCCTCCTGAAAGCCATGGAGAAACACATTCTAGGTAGATAACAGCACATGCAAAGGCCTAGAAGTGAGTGTCTGAGGTGGAAGTTCAGAGTCTTTGTCGTCAGCAGGACATGGAGCAACACTTGACACTGAGATTTAGGCAGAGAGAGACAGAGAGACAAAGAGAGATAGAGAGACAGAAACAGATACAGAGACAGAGTTAGAGATACAGAGAGATAGACAGAGACAGAGACAGAGATAGAGACAGAGCTAGAGATACAGAGAGAGACAGAGATACAGAGAGAGAGACAGATAGAGATACACAGAGAGAGGCAGAGACAGAAATAGAGACTGAGAGAGGCAGAGACAGAAATAGAGACTGAGAGAGGCAGAGACAGAAAGAGAGACAGAGATAGAGACTGAGAGATAGAGAGAGAGAGGAGTGGGAGGCAGGAGGAAAACCAGAGCATGAGAGGTCAAGCAGCCAAGAGAAAAGGCGAGGTCGTTAAAGAAAGGGTCAGCTGGGGCCGGGTGCAGTGGCTCATGCCTGTAATCCCAGCACTTTGGAAGACCGAGGCAGGCGGATCACGAGGTCAGGAGATCAGGACCATCCTGGCTAACATGGGGAAACCCCGCCTCTGCTAGTAAATACAAAAAAATTAGCTGGGCCTCGTGGCGGGCCGCCTGTAGTCTCAGCTACTCGGGAGGCTGAAGCAAGAGAATGGTGTGAACCCGGGAGGCGGAGCTTGCAGTGAGCCGAGATCACGCCACTGCACTCCAGCCTGGGCGACAGAGCGAGACTCCGTCTCAAAAAAAAAAAAAAAAAGAAAAAAAGGAAAGAGTCATCTGGGTTTGGTGACTAGGAGCGTACTGGTGACCTCAGTGAGAGGGGTTTCAGAGGCTTATGGAGACAGATGCAGGTTGAAGTGGGTTGTGGAGCGCGGGAGAGGTAGAAAGCAGTAAACACACCCCCCTGCCAACACCGCTCTCAGGAGACTGGTGTGAAGGGTAGGGGTCAGGACGCTAGCTGGAGAAGGAATATGGGTTCAAGGGAGAAGGGCTTTTTTCTTTTTAATAGAAGAGATCAGCAATGTGTTTAGATGCTGATGGAAGGAGCCAGAAAAAAGGAAAAGGAGAATATTGAGGTGAGACGAGATCTCCAAATGCCCAGGTGAGAAGACCAGATGAAATGGGGCACAGGAGTAGGGCTAGCTTTGGAGAGGGAGGGGAGCCTCCTCCCCTCATCCCCTGGAAGAGGAAATGGCCTATGAGAAGCCGGTGAGTGAATGGGTTTGGTGGCAGCAAGTTGAGGAAATGCCCATCTGATGGTGCCTATGCTCTCTGCTGAAAGTGAGGAAGACGGGGTGGAGTTAGAGGTTAAAGAGAGAATCTAAGGGCCGGGCACTGTGAGGAGGGCAAGGCAGGATTGGTGGAGCCCAGGAGTTCAAGACCAGCCTGGGCAACATAGACCCTGTCTCTACAAAAAAATTAAAAATTAGCTGGGTGTGGTGAGGTGTGCCTGTGGTCCCAGCTACTCAGGAAGCTGAGGTAGAAGGATCACTTGAGTGCAGGATGTTAAGGCTGCAGTGAGCTGGGATCACGCCACTGCACTCCAGCCTGAGTGACACAGCAAGACTCTGTCTTTAAAAAAAAAAAAAAGTGGCTGGCCTCGGTGGCTCACGCCTATAATCCCAGCACTTTGGGAGGCCGAAGCGGGTGGATCACCTGAGGTCAGGAGTTTGAGACCAGCCTGGCCAACATAGTGAAACCCCGTCTCTACTAAAAATACCTTAAACCCAGGAGGTGGATGTTGCAGTGAGCCGAGATCGTGCCAGTACACTCCAGCCTGGGCGACAGAGACTCCGTCTCAGAAAAAAAAAAATCCTCCATAGTCACCTGTAGTCAGCCCTTCCTCCTACTCCCACACCCTGGCAATCAGTGAACAGTTTCCTGTTCCTGTGGTTTTGACTTTGCAAGATTGTCATATAAATGGAAACGTATGGTAGCCTTTTCAGTCTGGTTTATTTTACTTAGCACAAAGCATTTGAGATTCATCTAGTCACGTGTATCCGTAGTTTGTTCCTTTTATTGAGTGGTGGTCCGTTGTATGGATGTTCCAGAACATTTGGACTATTTCTAGTTTGGGGCATAAAATGACTATTAATAAATATTCACGTACAAGTTTTGTGTGTACATAGATTTTCCTTATACTTGAGTAAAGAGCAAGCAGTGGAATTTTTGGGTCATATGGTAAGTGTAAGTGTAAGTTTAATTTTGTAAGAAACTCAAACTTTTTCAAAGCGGCTGTCTCACCAGCAATAACCGAGAGGTTCCAGTTGTTCTACATCCTCTCCAGCATTTGTTATCTTTGAAAGCCATTCTAAAAGGCATATTTCAATTTTTATTAGATCGGTATTGAAGATTTACATTATTAAACTATGTAAACAGGCCAGGCGTGATAGTTTACACCTATAATCTCTGCACTTTGGGAGGCGAAGGCAGGAGGATCACTTGAGCTCAGAAGTTCCAGGCCAGCCTGGTCAACATAGTGAGACTCTGTACAAAAAATAAATAAATAAATCAGAAAAAAATTAGCTAGGTCAGGCACAGTGGCTCATGACTGTAATCCCAACTACTTGAGAGGTCAACATGGGAGGATCGCTTGAGTCCAGGACTTCGAGACCAGCCTGGACAACATTGGGAGACACTGTCTATTTAAAAAAAAAAATTAGCTGAGTGTGGTGGTGCCCTGTGATCCCAGCTACTAAGGAGGCTGAGGTAAGAGAGTCACTTACTTGAGCACAGGTTGTGGAGGCTGCAATGAAACGTGATCACTGCACTCCAGTCTGGGCAACAGAGCAAGACTCTTTCTCAAAACAAAAAATGTAGACAGTAGTCCCAGTTGAGTCATGATTTTAGTTTTTCTTCTTCTCTTTCTTTAGTTTTTTGTGCATCTATTATATAATTAATTCATCCAAATTTTCTGCCAAAAATAGAAATCTCTTTGCAGTACATTTAGACAGATCACGTCATTTCTCCATATGATCATTTTCATGGAGACATACCTCAGGAGCCCTCCATCTCCCTGATTCCATCTGGATGGGGCACCCTGGAGGTCTGCTGCCCAGCTGTCCTCCTGAGCTCCCCATTCACCCTTATGCTCAGGGGCTCTCCCTGCCTGTTGTGCTGGGTCCCATGTTATCTTCTTTTCTATTTCTCCTTTATTTTAGTGAAGTACAACCTCCGGTTGCTTCCTGAGGGGTAGTCTTGAGACATTTATGTATCCGAAAAGACCTCAATTCATACTTGCATAGCATTTGGCTAGGTATAGAATTCTAGATTGGAAATATTTTCTCTCAGATTTTGAAGGTCTTCATTATCTTATAGCTTCAAAGGTTGGTGTTGAGAAGTCTGATGAATATTGAATTCCTGAAGCTCAGACTTTTTTCTCTCTGGAAGTTTTTGGGTTCCACTCTGTCCTCAGTGTTGTGAAATTTCTTGACAACAAAATTGGGGCTGGGTCCCCTTCATTCATTGTCATGAACACTTGGTGTTTCCTTCTCTACTGGAAACTCATGTTCTTCCTCTGTGAGAACTTGTCTTGACAAAAAAGAAACGTATTTATTAGACATCTTTCCTTGCCTCCTAGTCTGTTGTCTCTGCTGCCTGTTTCAGAAACATCTAAACAACAATTTAGCTGTTGGAGCTCCTGACCTCTTCTCTGTTCTTTCTGGAAAATATTTTTTTCAAGTTTAGCTTCTATACTTTGATTAGATTTTGCATTCCTATTATTATATTTTTTATTTTTAAGGCAAGGTCTTTCTCTGTTGCCCAGGCTGGAGTGCAGTGGCACGATCACAGTTCACTGCAGCTTTGTTCCTGGACTCAAGTGATCCTCCCACCTCAGCCTCCCAAGCAGCTGGAACTACAGGTGTGTGCCACCACACCCAGCCAGTATTTTAATTTTTTGTAGAGATGGGGTCTCCTTAGGTGGCCCAGGCTGGTGTTGAATTCCTAGGCTCAAACAATCCTCCTGCCTTAGCCTCCCAAAATGCTGGGATTACAGGCATGAGCTAAGGCACCCAGACTATATTTTTGTCAAGAATTAGTGGTGGTGGGTGTTTGAACATTTTTATTTTAGACCCTCCTATTCTTATTTCATGAATGCAAAGTTTTATCTTTCTAAAGATATCAATTATAGATTTTTTTTTTAAGACAGTTTCACTCTTGTTGACCAGGCTGGAGTGCAATGATGCGATCTCGGCTCACTGCAGCCTCTGCCTCCCAGGTTCAAGCAATTCTCCTGCCTCAGCCTCCTGAGTAGCTGGGATTACAGGCACCCACCACCACGCCCAGCTAATTTTTTGTATTTTTAGTAGAGACGGGGTTTCACCATGTTGGCCAGGCTGGTCTCGAACATCTGACCTCAGGTGATCCACCCATCTCGGCCTCCCAAAGTGCTGGGATTACAGGCGTGAGCCACCCTGCCCAGCCCAATTATAGATTTTTTAGGTTTAGGTGTTGACAGTAGCTCTCACCTCAGCCTGTTCTCTCTCCTTGTCATGCAGCCCACAGGGGAGATGGTCAGGCCAGTGTGGGGGCTAATGAATAAATGCTACACTGTGCCCACTCAGGTGGGTAAGGGCTGGCACTCCTCTTCCCCTGGAGTGGGGCGGCTGTGCTGGCACCCTTGGCAGACACAGTAAGGGGGACTGCACCTGGAAAGGATGGGCCAGTCGGGGCAGGACTACTCATCACTCATAGTGTGGGTGTCAGGGTTGTGTCACCCCTCCCACCTCCCTCTGCAGAGACGCAAAGTCAAGAGTAGGAAGAAGCCAACCTCTGAGGTAAGGCTTCCCCTGGAAGGCCCAGGGCTGGGGCTCTCTCCTTTCAGAGCTCAGTTAGACCCAGACACACGGCAGGGAGTCCCAAGGGTAGTGGCAGGCCCCCTCCAGGAAACTCACAAGGTTACCACAGCTCAACTGAAAAGGAAGAACTTCCCAGGACTGTGACACCCCAGTGTGAGAACAGGAGGATGAGGTGCTCTGAAGGCCTTTCTGCCCAGTCTGCCCTCTTATTCCTCCTGCAGGTCACGACCCCCAGGAGACCTGGAGGACTGAATGCTGCTGCCCCCAAGGAGGAGGCTGCCGTCTTATCCCAGGAGGGAGAGCAGGTGAAGTCCCCAGGGGAGGAAGCACCTAGCCCCATTCCTGCTGAGCAGGAGGTGGCAGGTACCCCAGACTGGGAGGTAAGGACAGCCCGGGGCTTCGACTGAACGTCTCCAGCGTGGGTCCAACTGAGCAGCCATGGAGCACTGCAGAGTGGGAGGCAGCAGGGCAGGGAGGCAGTGCTGGAGGCTGGCTCAACCCCAAGACCAGCAGGCCAAGCTGCCATCCCAGGGGAGCGAGGACGTCTGTGCAGAGCTGAGAGGCAGCAGCCATGTGTGAACAGACTGGGCCTCATCCTGGCCCCACCGACTTTGTGTGGACAGAGCCTGTTTCCCTGTCTGTGCAACACAGAACCTGCCTGATCTCACTGCTGGATCCCTCTTCTTCCTGCCAGGAAAATAAAAAGGTTCAAAAGGAAGTTGCTGCGTATCCATCTGGTAAGACCACTGACCCAGCGTGCTGCAGGGGGCTGCTTCCACCCTGCTTCTCAGTGACTGCCAGGGTCACAGACACCCCAGCCCTTTCCCACCTTCCTGACCTGGGGAGGGGAGGGGAGGGAAGCAGCCCAGGAGTCAGGTGCCTTGACCTTCCTGGGAGCCTCCTTGGGTGGGCAGGAACTCTGGGCCACTCCCCTGAGCTGGCTGCATCCCTACCTTTCACCACAGCTGACCTGGCCCCGGGGCATCTCAGAGGGAGGGTTGGTTGCTCCCAGGAGGGGACTCACAAGGCTGCCTGTTTCTACTTTGCAGAGGCCTCTGAGGACAGCAAAGAGCAAAGGCCCTGGGACCGGGTCTACGTGCCCATGACAGAGCTCTGGCTGGACTGGTTCTGAGCCTCTAACACCCCCAAGACTCAGAACCGTGAAGAAAATCTTTCCAATAAATCCAAGAGTTGCTGCTGCTATAGGCCAGGCTGCCACCTTTCGGGGCCTCCGTCTTCAGACAAACCCAGCCTGGCTTCATCCACACTCCCTGTCCCCACAGCTGCAGGAACAGCACTTCCTGCCACCGAGCCGTGTGACCACAGTGGATTGTCTCTGGAGGGGCCCAAGGGGGCCCTGGCCACCCTTCTGACTGACTCGGTGCCAGGGGACAGACCAACGTCCCTCTCGTGCTGACAGCCGGGCCGCACCCTGGCATGAGGGCATTTACAGAAATGCTGGCGGAACTGCTGCCAGGGAGGCTGTAGGGTCCTCTGGCAAAAGAGGCCTCAGGTGGCTCCTCAGAGTGTCTGTGGTTCTCTGTCCCAGGCTGTTCCCTAAGAAGGTCTGCCCAGGACTCAGGTAATCATATGCTCATTAGAAACTCTTGGGCACTGCCTGTGTGCCCAGCCCAGCCCATTATGTCGGTGAGGACAGACGTGGAGGACAGCAGTCCCTGCCCTTGGTTGGGGCTCCAGGCCAGCAAGGGCCACAGCCCCAGAAGGCAGAGCAGGAAGACAGGACTCGGGGCAGGTGAAGCAGCCTTCTCGTTGGCAGAAGGGAAACAGAAGCCCGGGGTGGGGAAGGGTGGGGAAGGGTGGGGAAGGGTGGGCCCGGGGTCACACGGGGTAATGGCAGAGCAAGGACTAGGGTCAGGGTCTCTGGCTCTCAGCTGCCCATGCCACCTCCTCCTTCTCTGCCCGCCCCAGTGCCTTATGGGTCCAAGGTTGACTCCTGTCCCTAGGGCAGGCCTGTGGGCCCTGCCTGATCCCTACTGGGAGGATGGTACCTAGGGTTGGAGCCAAACAAGTGTCCTCCTCCAGCGCCAGCCTGGCCCTGAGTGCGAACTCGTCACTGGTCAGGGGTCCAGACAGCAGCATCCCTGAGGGCCCAGAGAGGTGGCCAGTCCTGTGGTGAGGTTGAGAGGTGTCAACGTGCTGGTGGTCCTCGCTCGCTCTCAGCGCCTCCTCGGCCTCAGCTTCTGCTCTGACCACACTTGAGGAGCCCTTCAGCCCAGCGCTGCACTGTGGGAGCCCCTCTCTGGACTGGTGGAGGCTGGAGCCGGCTCCGTCTGCTTGCGGGGAGGTATGGAGGGAGAGGCGTGTGCGGGAACCTGGGTTGCTCGCGGGCCAGCACCAGTTCTGGGTGGGCAGGGGCTCAGCGGGCCCTGCACTCGGAGCGGCCGGCTGGTGCCTCTGGCCCCAGGCAGTGAGGGGCTTAGCACCTGGGCCAGCAGCTGCAGAGGGGGCACCGGGTCCCCCAGTACTGCTGGCCTGCCGGCGCTCACCACACTTGAATTGTCGCCAGGCCTCAGTCACCTCCCCGCGGGGCAGGGCTCAGGACTTGCAGCCTGCCATGCCCAAGCCTCCCTACGGTGGGCTCCCTGCGAGGCCCGAGCCTCCCGGATGGGTGCCTCCCACTGCTCCACGGCACCTGGTCCCGTCCACTGCCCAAGGGCTGAGGAGTACAGGTGCCCGGTGTGGGACTAGCAGGCAGCTCTGCCTGTGGCCCTGGCATAGGATCCACTAGGCGAAGCTGGCTGGGCTCCTGAGTCAGGTGGGGACTTGGAGAACTTTTATGTCTAGCCAGAGGATTGTATATGCACCAATCAGCACTCTGTGTCTAGCTCCGGGTTCGTGCATGCACCAATTAGCACTCTATCTAGCTAATCTGGTGGGGACTTGGGGAACCTTTATTTCTAGCTAAAAGATTGTAAATACACCAATCAGCACTCTGTGTCTAGCTCAAGGTTTGTAAACACACCAGTCAGCACCCTGTGTCTAACTCAAGGTTTGTAAACGCACCAATCAGTGCTCTCTGTCTACTCTATCTAGCTAATCTAGTGGGGACTGGGACAACCTTTATGTCTAGCTAAGGGATTGTAAATACACCATTCAGCACTCTGTGTCTAGCTCAAGGTTTGTAAATATACCAATCAGTACTCTGTGTCTAGCTCAGGGATTGTAAATGCACCAATCAGCTCTCTGTAAGTGGACCAATCCACTGTCTGTAAAATGGGCCAATCAGCAGGATGTGGGTGGGGGTCAGATAAGGGAATAAAAGCAGGCTGCCTGAAGTAGCAGCGGCAACCTGGTTGCCATCATTCTTTTGCTGTTTGCAGTAAGTCTTGCTGCTGCTGCTCCCTCATTGGGTCCACACTGCCTTTATGAGTTGTAACACTGGAAGGACTGCAGTTTCACTCCTGAGGCCAGTGAGACCACAAACCCACCAGGAAGAATGAACAACTCCGTACGTGCAGCCTTAAGAGCCGTAACACTCACTGTGAAGGTCTGCAGCTTCACTCCTGAAGCCAGCAAGACCACGCACCCACCAGAAGGAAGAAACTCTGAACACGTCTTAACATCAGAAGGAACAAACTCTGAACACACCATCTTTAAGAACTGTAACACTCACCGTGAGGGTCCACGGCTTCATTCTTGAAGTCAGTGAGACCAAGAACCCACCAATTTTGGACACAAGGTGACAGGCTGAGGGCGGTGGCTCGGTCCTGGGTTTTCCTGGGGCCTTCCCAGGGAATGTTCTGGCACCTGCCGACTGAGCCCTGGGAGGTAGCCCTGGCATATAGCTCCCTGACATGATTTGTCTTCCATTTTGGGGTGTCATATATGAAGGGAGGTGACTGTTGTGATGGTGCTGGCAGGACTGCTGTCCCTGATGTGGGGTGGGCTGAGTTAGGCCTGAAATATGGGCCTCCAGGCTGAGTCCTGCCCTCTCCACCACATCCAGGGCTGACTGACACCTCTAGTCAGCCCATTCTGGCCCCTTCCCCACATGCCAGGACAATGTAGTCCTTGTCACCAATCTGGGCAGTCAGAGTTGGGTCAGTGGGGGACATGGGATTATGGGCAAGGGTAACTGACATCTGCTCAGCCTCAACGTACCCGTCTCAAATGCGGCCAGGCGGTGGGGTAAGCAGGAATGAGGCAGGGGTGGGGTTGCCCTGAGGAGGATGATCCCAACGAGGGCGTGAGCAGGGGACCCAAGTTGGAACTACCACATTGCTTTATTGTACATTAGAGCCTCTGGCTAGGGAGCAGGCTGGGGACTAGGTACCCCATTCTAGCGGGGCACAGCACAAAGCTCGTAGGGGGATGGGGTCACCAGAAAGCTGACGACACGAGAGTGGCTGGGCCGGGGCTGTCCGGCGGCCACGGAGAAGCTGAAGTGCTGCAGCAGGGAGGTGAAGAAGAGGAAGAGCTCCATGCGGGCCAGGGGCTCCCCGAGGCATGCACGGCGGCCTGTGGGGAGGGGAGGGGCGTCAGTGAGCCTGGCTCCTGGGTGATACCCCTGCAAGACTCCACGGAAGGGGACAGGGAGCCGGGCTCCCCACAGGCACCTGCTGAGAAAGGCAGGAAGGCCTCCGGCTTCACAAAGTGGCCCTGGGCATCCAGGAAGTGTTCGGGGTGGAAGCGGAAGGGCTTCTTCCAGACGGCCTCATCCTTCAGCACCGATGACAGGTTGGTGATGAGTGTCGTTCCCTGGGCAGGAGATGCAGGGTGAGAGTGGGGACTGGACTCTAGGATGCTGGGACCCCTGCCACCAAACACACGGGGGACACACACTGCCTGGCACACAGCTGGACTCTGTCAACTAGTCCTGCGCCCGAGAAGCTCCACAGTACCCTCTCCGACCCCACAGCAGGGCGCAGTCACACCTCTCAGAGGCACCCACACTGCCCCCTCTCCCTGCAGGCGCTGGGTCCTCCAACATTCTGGCAGGTCCTGATTTGTCTTCCCCACTAGACGGGGGCTCTGGATGGACAGGCCAGCCCTGCCTATACTCTGGACCCCCCATCCAAGCGGGGACAGTCAGTGTGGTGGCATTGAGGACTAGGTGGCCAGGGTTCCTAGAGTGGGCCCACCTGGCAGTAGCCATGCTGGGGCTATCACCAGGGGCTGGTGCTGAGCTGGGGTGAGGAGGGCGCCAGGCCTACCTTAGGGATGCGGAAGCCCTGTACTTCGATGTCACGGGATGTCATATGGGTCACACTCAGGGGGATGATGTCCCCAAAGCGCTGCACCTCGTGAATCACGGCAGTGGTGCAGGGCATGTGAGCCTGGTCACCCATCTCTGGTCGCCGCACCTGCCCTATCACGTCGTCGATCTCCTGTTGGACACGGACTGGACAGACATGCGTCCCCACAATGGGTCAGCACCCAGGGGACACTCTCCTTCCTCCTGTGTTGGAGGAAGTTAGGCTTACAGGAGCCTGGCCACGCCTGTGCTGGAAGCCCCGGGTGTCCCAGCTAAGCCCAGGGGCCCCCAGCTGTACCCTTCCTCCCTCAGTCCCTGCCTTGGGCCCCAGCTGGGCTCACGCTGCACATCCAGGTGTAGGATCATGAGCAGGAGGCCCCAGGCCAGCGTGGTCGAGGTGGTCACCATCCCGGCAAGGAACAGGTTACCCACCACTATGCGCAGGTTCTCATCATTGAAGCTGCTCTCAGGGCTCCCCTTGGCCTGAGCAGGGCCGAGAGGATACTCAGGGGATAGAACGGGGTAGCCCCCAAATGACCTCCAATTCTGCACCTGTCAGCCCAGATGCGGCTCGCCGGGTGATGCACTGGTCCAACCTTTTGCCCAGCCTCCCCTCATTCCTCCTGGGACGTTCAACCCACCACCCTTGCCCCCCACCGTGGCAGCCACTCTCACCTTCTCCTTCTTTGCCAGGAAGGCCTCAGTCAGGTCTCGGGGTGGCTGGGCTGGGTCCCAGGTCATCCTGTGCTCAGTTAGCAGCTCATCCAGCTGGGTCAGGAAAGCCTTTTGGAAGCGTAGGACCTTGCCAGCCAGCGCTGGGATGTGCGGGAGGACGGGGACAGCATTCAGCACCTACACCAGACAGAACGGGGTCTCAATCCCTCCTGTGCTCTGCGTTCACCTGGACCAGTCTCAGGCCCCAGCCATCTCCAGGAAGACCCAGGGCCTGCCTGTCCTTACCACTGACCTCACCAAGTCCCTCCCCAAGTGCCAGCCTCCACCCTCTCTCTCCTTGCCCAGAGGAGAAACCTAAAATCGAAATCTCCAACGTGGACGGGGGTACAGAGTCCTTGGCCTCTCCTGGTGCCCCCTGACCCGGGCACACCTCTCCCACGACCATGTCTGAGATGTCCCCTCCTCCTCCAGGCCCTTCTTACAGTGGGGTCTCCTGGAATGTCCTTTCCCAAACCCATCTATGCAAATCCTGCCCTTCGGAGGCCCCAGTCCAGCCCCGGCACCTCTCAGGAGCTCGCCCTGCAGAGACTCCTCGGTCTCTCGCTCCGCACCTCGCGCAGGAAGCCCGACTCCTCCTTCAGTCCCTCCTGAGCTAGGTCCAGCAGCCTGAGGAAGCGAGGGTCGTCGTACTCGAAGCGGCGCCCGCAGGTGAGGGAGGCGATCACGTTGCTCACGGCTTTGTCCAAGAGGCCGTTGGGGCGAAAGGGGCGTCCTGGGGGTGGGAGATGCGGGTAAGGGGTTGCCTTCTCCGTCCCCCGCCTTCCCAGTTCCCGCTTTGTGCCCTTCTGCCCATCACCCACCGGCTTGGTCGGCGAAGGCGGCACAAAGGCAGGCGGCCTCCTCGGTCACCCACTGCTCCAGCGACTTCTTGCCCAGGCCCAAGTTGCGCAAAGTGGACACGGAGAAGCGCCTCTGCTCGCGCCACGCGGGCCCATAGCGCGACAGGATCACCCCTGGGGGCGGGACGGGCACGTGGGCGTTGCCATGAAGGCCTTGGCCCCACCCTCCGCCACCCACTCCAACCCTGGCGCTCCACAAGGTCTCCCGCAGTCCCTAGCCCGGTCCAGCTGGGCACAGGGCCCACTCTTTGCTCACCCACATTGCTCCCCTGCCTGGGGCGGGGTTTGGCCCCACCTCGTCTCTGCCCACCCTGACCACCTTTCCACTCAAGGAAGATCCCGCCCGTCCCGCCCACACTGAGCCCGCAGCATAGGCGCGGTCCCCGCCACCGCCACTTCGACGCATCAGCCTCGCCCACCGGGCTTCTGGCGGGTCTGGGCAGTAGCCCCGCCCCCTCCCAGCCCACAGACTCGCACCTCCCCCGTGCAGGTGGTTTCCTGGCCCACTGTCCTCAGCCCACTCGCTGGCCTTTATCTCTGTTTCACGTCCAGGACCCCACGCCCTGTCGGCGCTGCTTGGGCTACGGTCACTGTCCACCCGGGTCCCACGGAAATCTGTCTCTGTCCCCACCGCCGCTTGCCTTGGGAACGCGGCCCGAAGCCCAGGACCTGGTAGATGGGCGCAGGCGGGCGGTCGGCCGTGTCCTCGCCGCGGGTCACCATCGCCTCGCGCACGGCCGCCAGCCCATTGAGCACGACCACCGGCGTCCAGGCCAGCTGCAGGCTGAACACGTCCCCGAAGCGGCGCCGCAACTGCAGAGGGAGGGTCAGGGCCTCTTGTCAAGCCAGGATCACCCCAGACTACAGGTCCTAGTCCTATTTGAACCTTGGACGACCCCCGGGGCTACCAGGAGTGAGCAGGTGGAAGGAGGAGACCCAGCCTCCTGATCGTGGGGCGGGGGTGGGGGTCACACCTTCTGTGATGGAGGAACTCAGTTTGGATGCGTCACCCAGGTATGACCTTGCAAGAGTCACCAAAATTGCCGAGAGGCCCCAGTTAGCATCCCATTCCCAGATGATGGTCCATGCCGGTGAGCAGTGAGGCCCGAGGACCCACAGTGCAAAAGGTTTGAACCGGGTCACTGCACCCCCTTCATCCTCGATTTCGTGATTTAAACGGCACTCAGGACTAACTCATCTTCCATTCCCAAGGCCTTTCCTTCTGGTGTCAGCAGAAGGGACTTTGTACTCCATAACATATGTTGCCCAATGGGCTTGCATGCCCACTGCCAAGTCCAGCTCCACCTCCAGGCCCTTGCCCTACTCTTCCTTGGCCTTTGGAAAATCCAGTCCTTCATGCCATGTATAAATGTCCTTCCCCAGGACGTCCCCCAAACCTGCTTCCCCTTCTCAGCCTGGCTTCTGATCCAGCCTGTGGTTTAACCCACCACCCATGTTTGCTGGTGGTGGGGCATCCTCAGGACCTCTGCCGCCCTCCAGGACCTCCTCCCTCACCTGGTCGAAGCAGTATGGTGTGTTCTGGAAGTCCACATGCAGCAAGGTTGCCCAGCCCGGGCAGTGGCAGGGGACCTGGCGGGTAGCGTGCAGCCCAGCGTTGGTGCCGGTGCATCAGGTCCACCAGGAGCAGGAAGATGGCCACTATCATGGCCAGGGGCACCAGTGCTTCTAGCCCCATGGCTGCCTCACTACCAACTGGGCTCCTCTGGACACACCTGGCACCCCCACCCCACCAGGCACAGAGGACCAGGCAGGACACTCTCGGCACACCGAGCGCGTGACCCTTCCCTTATAAAGGGAGCTGATGATGGCCTTCGCCCTCTGCTGTGAGTGAACCTGCTGTGTTGACTGTGCTGCCAGTGGCAGAGTCAGGCCAGGGCAGGTATGGGCTGCTCCAGAGGTCCTTGCCGCTGCTTCCTGCTCCAGGCCCTTACCCAGGGTAGGGTGGTAGAAAGGCCTGGTCGGAGAAGTCACCCCCTCTCCCCACTCCAAGCTCCCCAAGCCCACACAGGCTTCTGGGATAACCAGGGTCTCAGTGGACCCGGCCATCCACCTCCCAGCTAGGCTCATACACCCTAATGTAGTCACAACCCCTCCTCCAGAACATGACCTTGCCCTTTCCCTACCCCCACCTGCCCACTCCAGAGTGACCTTCAGCACCCTTATCTGTCACTGGCACTTACCTGGGGCCTTAGAGCTCCTGATGATGAGTGGCATCATGGGCCTGGTCCCTTCACTTCACCTTGCACTCTTGACATGCACAGACGCTATGCACACACCTGATGGTGCACAGATCTCTTGTCCACTCCCAGACACTTGTCCACTTGTTCACACTTGCAGGGACACGATTACACATGCAGAAAATCACCCACACAAAGACAATATTCACACATACACAGACTCACACTGACACTCAGGGCACACATTCTCTCTCACACACACCAGTCACACACACATACAGACCCGGCACCAAGTACCCCACTTCCCAGCCATGCCCGAGGTTTCCTGGATGGGACCTCTCCTGTCCAGAGGCTGCTCCCGGTGAGCCTCAAAGCTGTCACATGGATCCCAGCTCAGCCCACATTCTGGGCTCTGGCCGGGCCATGACTTCCTGTTTGCAACAGGGCTGTTCCCAGAGCTCCCAGTTGGTAGCCTGAAGGCCCTTGCCCCAGCCTGTGACAGCATCCTCCAGGGCTGCCTGAGGGTCGTCATTCTCCACTGCTTCCTGGCCTCCATGTTTCTGATTAGAAATCTGGTGGAAACATTATGGAGGATCCTTTATTTAGGATATGTTGCTTTTTTATTTTTATTTTTTCTTTAGACAGGGTCTCACTCTGTTGCCCGGGCCGGAGTGCAGTGGCAGGATCATGGCTCACTGCAATCTCAACATCAAGTGGACCTCCTGCCTCCCAAGTAGCTGGGACTACAGGCACCACCGAGCCCAAATAATTTTTTTTTTGAGACGGAGTTTTGCTCTGTCGCCCAGGTGGGAGTGCAATGATGCGATCTCGGCTCACTGCAACCTCCACCTCCAGGGTTCAAGCGATTCTCCTGCCTCAGCCTCCCAAGTAGCTGGGATTACAGGTGCCCACCACCATGCCTGGCTGATTTTTTGTACAAGAAGTTTATAGAACACCAAGCAGATTTAACCCAAAGAAGACGACCTCAAGGCATCTGATAATTAAACTCCGAAAGGTCAAGGATAAAGAAAGGATCCTAAAAGCAGCAAGAGAAAAGAAACAAATAACATGCAGTAGAGCTCCAATACATGACATGGGGCAGCCACCTTTCCAGTGGAAACCTTACAGGCCAGGGGGGAGTGGCATGACATATTTAAAGTGCTGAAGGAAAAAAAACTTTTAGCCTAGAATAACGTATCTGGCAAAAATATCCTTCCAACAGGAAGGAGAAATAAAGACCTTCCCAGACAAACAAAAGCTGCGAGATTTCATCAACACCAGACCTATATCCCACAAGAAATGCTAAAGGGAGTTTTTCAATCTGAAAAAAAAAAGGATATTAATGAGCAAGAAGAAATCATCTAAAGGTACAAAACTCACTGGTAATAGTAAGCACACAGAAAAACAGAGTATTATAATACTGTAATTGTGGTGTGTAAACTACTCTTATTTTAATTAGACTAAATGATGAACCAATCAAAAATAATAAGTACTTTTCAAGACAGACAGTACAGTAAGACATAAAGAGGCCGGACCCGGTGGCTCACGCAGGTAATCCCAGCACTTTGTAAGGCTGAGGTGGGTGGATCACCTGAGGGCAGGAGTTCGAGACAAGCCTGGCCAACATGGTGAAACCCCATCTCTACTAAAAATACAAAAAATTTAGCTGGGCATGGTGGTGGGCGCCTGCTACCCAGGAGGCTGAGGCAGGAGAATCGGTTGAACCTGGGAAGTGGAGGTTACAGTGAGCTGAGATCGTGCCACTGCACTCTAGCCTGGGCAACAGAGCAAGACTTTATCTCAAAAACAAAAAAAGAGAAACAACAAAAAGTTAAAAAGCACTAAGATGAACTTAAAGTGTAGAGTTTTTATTAGTCTTCCTTTTGCTTTATGTTTGTTTACACAATCAGTGTTGTCATCCGTTTAAAATAATGAGTTATAAGATAATATTTGCAAGCCTCACGGCAACCTCAAATCAAAAAGCACACAATAAGTGAGACTGTGTCTCAAAAAGAAAAGAAGAAAAAACACACAATGGATACACACACACAAAAAAGCAAGAAATTAAATCATACCACCAGAGAAAATCACCTTCATTAAAAGGAAGACAAGGAAAAAAAAAAAAAAAAAAAAAAAAAAGAGAAGACCACAAAACAGTGAGAAAAGAAATAACAAAATAGCAGGAGTAAGTCCCTGCTTAGCAATAATAACATTGAATGTAAATGGACTAAACTCTCCAATACAAAGACACAGAGTGGCTGAATGGATGAAAAAGCAAAGCTCAATGCTCTTTTGTCTAGAAGAAACACACTTCACCTGTAAAGATACACATGGACTGAAAATAAAGGGATGGAAAAAGATACTCCATGCCAATGGAAAACAAAAAAGAGCAGGAGTAGCAATACTTAGACAGAACAGATTTTAAAACAAAAACTGTAAGAGGAGGCCGGGTGTGGTGGCTCACGCCTGTAATCCCAGCACTTTGGGAGGCCAAGACGGGCGGATCACGAGGTCAGGAGATTGAGACTATCCTGGCTAACATGGTGAAACCCCGTCTCTACTAAAAATACAAAAAATTAGCCAGGCGTGGTGGCGGGCGCCTGTAGTCCCAGCTACTCAGGAGGCTGAGGCAGGAGAATGGCGTCAACCTGGGAGGCGAAGCTTGCAGTGAGCCAAGATCGCGCCACTGCACTCCAGCCTGGGTGACAGAGCGAGACTCCGTCTCCAAAACAAAACAAACAAACAACAACAACCAAAAAAACTGTAAGAGGAGACAAAGAAGGTCATCCAGCAACAGAATATAACAATTGTAAATACATATGCACACAACACTGGAGCACGTAAAGCAAATGTTATTGGAGCCCAAGAGAGACGTTAACGCAATAACAGCTAAAGACGTCAACACCCCACATTCAGCATTGGACGGGTGTCCCAGATGGAAACCCAATAAGAAAACATTAGACTTAATCTGCACTACAAAAGAAATGGACCTACTAGATACTTACAGAACACTTCGTCTAAAGTCTGCAGAATACACATTCTTCTCCTCAGCACATGGATCATTCTCAAGGATACACCATATGTTAGGTCACAAAGCAAGTCTTAAAACATTACAAATGTTAAAATAATATCAAGCATCTTCTCTGACCACAACAGAATAAAAGTGGAAATCAACAACAAGAGGAATTCTGGAAACTATACATACACGTGAAAATTAAACAATATGGTCCGGAATGGCCAGTGGTTCAATGAAGAAATTAGGAAGGAAATTTGGCTGGGCACAGTAGCTTACACCTGTAATCCCAGCACTCTGGGGGGCTGAGGCAGTCAGATGACCTGAGATAGGGAGTTCGAAAGCAGCCTGGCCAACATGGTGAAACTCCGTCTCTACAAAAAATACAAAAATTAGCAAAGCATGGTGGCATGTGCCTGCAGTCCCAGCTACTAGGGAGGCTGAGATGGGAGGATTGCTTGAACCCAGGAAGTCAAGGCTGCAGTGAGCCCTGATGGCATCACTGCACTCCAGCCTCGGTGACAGAGCAAGACCCTGTCTCAAGAAAACACACACACACACACACACACACACACACACACACACAGATGCTCAAACTAATATCATTTTGCTGTTAGAGCCAAGAGGGGTGGCCTGTGTAGTAAAAAGTGGGGAAGTCATTCCTTGCACAATGCAAGCCACTGGACCAAGAGTCCAAACTGACTCTTGACAGGAGGCTGGGAGATATCTGCTAAGGCCTTGGAATGTCCTGCCTGAAATAGTGTCTTTGTACATAGCTAGGGCCTTGGACCGTACAACACAGTTTATGCCAACAATGTGATCGAGGGTGGGGCCGTCAGGCCTGTATCCATCTGACTTCAGGAGGGGCTGGAGACTGAGTAACTGAGGTCAGCCATGCTGCGGGGGCTCAAGCCTAGGATGACCAACTCCCAACAAAAACCATGGACACCAAGGCCCAGGTGAGCTTCCGTGGCTGGCAGGGCTCTCTGCTGCCTCACTTACTGTTGGGGGAGAATTAAGCACTGCCTGTAGGAGTCCACCAGAAAAGAGAGCTGCAGCCTTGGCCTGGTCATTCTGGACTCTGGTCCCTGTGCCTTTCATCTTTGCTGACTTTAATCTGTACCCTTCTCTGTAATAAACTGTTAACAGGGAGAATAACAGCTTTTCTAGGGCTGTGAGACCTTCTAGAAATCACTGAACCTGAGGGTGGTCTGGGGGAGCACAACACAGTCTCCCACCCTAGCCAGGGAATGGGTTGATTCTTGGCATATGCCTATTCATATCCACCCCAGCCAAGACTTACGCATGGACTTTGTCACCAAGCCAGGCAGCCAGTGATGGGTCTCTGGGCGTGACGTGGGGGCAGGCTGTTTCCTGCTGAGAATCACTATGCCTGTATCTCAAGTAAAGTCAGGCGTCCAGGTAAGAGTGAATGAGGTGAGGCTGGTCTCGGTGGCTCACGCCTGTAATCCCAGCACTTTGGGAGGCTGAGGCTGGTGGTCACGTGAAGTCAGGAGTTTGAAACCAGACTGGCCAACATGGCGAAACCCATCACTACTAAAAAGACAAAAATGAGCCGGGGGTGGTACCCGGTGCCTGTAATCCCAGCTACTCAGGAAGCTGAGGCACGAGAATCGCTTGAACTCTGGAGGCGGAGGTTGCAGTGAGCTGAGATTGCACCACTGCACTCCAGCCTGGGTGACAGAGTAGGCTCCATCTCAAAAAAAAAAAAAAAAAAATGAATGAATGAGGTGAGGGGTGAGGGGTGAGGGGTGAGCACTGACATCAGGCAGGTGACTGACGACCCAACACAACCAGGACCTTGGCAGGGGCCCAGACTGGATACAGAAACCAAGTGGGAGCCACTAGACTAATTTATTGTACAACAGGGTCCCAGCTGAGGAGCAACTCTAGCGGGGCACAGCACAAAGCTCATAGGGGGATGGCGTCACCAGAAAGCCGACGACACGAGAGTGGCTGGGCCGGGGCTGTCCGGTGGGCACCGAGAAGCTGAAGTGCTGCAGCAGGGAGGTGAAGAAGAGGAAGAGCTCTATGCGGGCCAGGGGCTCCCCGAGGCATGCACGGCGGCCTGTGGGGAGGGGAGGGGCGTCAGTGAGCCTGGCTCCCGGGTGATACCCCTGCAAGACTCCACGGAAGGGGACAGGGAGCCGGGCTCCCCACAGGCACCTGCTGAGAAAGGCAGGAAGGCCTCCAGCTTCACAAAGTGGCCCTGGGCATCCAGGAAGTGTTCGGGGTGGAAGCGGAAGGGCTTCTCCCAGACGGCCTCATCCTTCAGCACCGATGACAGGTTGGTGAAGAGCATCATCCCCTGGGCAGGAGATGCAGGGTGAGAGTGGGGACTGGACTCTAGGATGCTGGGACCCCCAAGCACACAGGGGACACACACTGCCTGGCACACAGCTGGACTCTGTCAACTAGTCCTGTGCCCGAGAAGCTCCAGAGCACCCTCTCCGACCCCACGGCAGGGCGCAGTCACACCTCCTGGGAGCGCCCACGCTACCCCCTCTCCCTACAGGTATTGGGGTCCTCCAACATTCTGGCAGGTCCTGGTCTGCCTTCCCCACTAGACTGGGGCTCTGGATGGACAGGCCAGCCCTGCCTATACTCTGCACCCCACACCCAGGCTGGGACAGTCGATGTGGTGGCATTGAGGACTGGGTGGCCAGGGTTCCTAGACTGGGCCCACCTGGCAGTGGCCATGCTGGGGCTATCACCAGGGGCTGGTGCTGAGCTGGGGTGAGGAGGGTGCCAGGCCTACCTTAGGGATGCGGAAGCCCTGTACTTCGATGTCACGGGATGTCATATGGGTCACACCCAGGGGGACGATGTCCCCAAAGCGCTGCACCTCGTGAATCACGGCAGTGGTGCAGGGCATGCGAGCCTGGTCACCCATCTCTGGTCACCACACCTGCCCTATCACGTTGTCGATCTGTTGGACACGGCCTGGACAGACACGCGTCCCCACAATGGGTCAGCACCCAGGGGACCAGCCCTGACACTCTCCTGCCTCCTGTGTTGGAGGAGGTTAGGCTTACAGGAACCTGGCCAAGCCTGTGCTTGGAGTCCCGGGTGTCCCAGCTAAGCTCAGGGGCCCCCACCTGTACCCTTCCTCCCTTGCCCCCTGCACTGGGCCCCAGCTGGGCTCACGCTGCACATCCGGGCGTAGGATCATGAGCAGGAGGCCCCAGGCCAGCGTGATCGAGGTGGTCACCATCCCGGCAAAGAACAGGTCAGCCACCACCATGCGCAGGTTCTCATCATTGAAGCTGCTCTCAGGGTTCCCCTTGGCCTGAGCAGGGCTGAGAGGGTACTCAGGGGACAGAACGGGAAAGCCCCCAAATGACCTCCACATTCTGCACCTGTCAGCCCAGGTGCCACTTGCCAAGTGATCCAATGGACCCACCTTTTGCCTGCCTCATTCCTCCCGGACGCTCAACCCACCACCCCTGGTCCCTACCGTGTCAGCCACTCTCACCTTCTCCTTCTCTGCCAGGAAGGCCTCAGTCAGGTCTCGGGGTGGCTAGGCTGGGTCCCAGATCATTCTGTGCTCGGTCAGCAGCTCATCCAGCTGGGTCAGGAAAGCCTTTTGGGAGCGTAGGACCTTGCCAGCCAGCCCTGGGATGCGCAGGAGGAGGGGGACAACATTCAGCATCTACAGCTGACACAGAACGGGGTCTCAATCCCTCCTGTGCTCTGCGTTCACCTGGACCAGTCTCAGGCCCCAGCTGCCTCCAGGGAAGACCCAGGGCCTACCTGTCCCCACCACTCACCTCCCCAAGTCCCTCCCCAAGTGCCAGCCTCCACCCTCTCTCCTTGCCCTGGGCTGCCAGAGGAGAAACCTAAAAATCAAAATCTCCAATGTGGACAGGAGGCACAGGGTCCTTGGCCTTTCTTGGTGCCCCCTGACCCGGGCACACCTCTCCCACGACCGTATCTGAGATGTCTCCTCCTCCTCAAGGCCCTTCCTCTAGCAGTGAGCTCTTCTGGAATGTCCTTTCCCAAACCACTCTATGCAAACCCTGCTCCTTGGAGGTCCGGCTGCAGTCCCGGCACCTCTCAGGAGCTCGCCCTGCAGAGACCCTGCGGTCCCTCGCTCCACATCTCTCACAGAAAGCCCAGCTCCTCCTTCAATCCCTTCTGAGCTAGGTCCAGTAGCCTGAGGAAGCGAGGGTCGTCGTACTCGAAGCGGCACCCGCAGGTGAGGGAGGCGATCACGTTGCTCGCCGCTTTGTTCAGGAGGCCGTTGGGGTGAAAGGGGCGTCCTGGGGGCGGGAGATGCGGGTCAGGGGTCGCCTTCCCAGTCCTCCACCTTCCCAGTTCCCGCTTTGTGCCCCTCTGCCCATCACCCACTGGCTTGGTCGGCGAAGGCGGCACAGAGGCAGGCGGCCTCCTCGGTCACCCACCGCTCCAGGGACTTCTTGCCCAGGCCCAAGTTGCGCAAGGTGGACACGGAGAAGCGCCTCTGCTCGCGCCACGCGGGCCCATAGCGCGACAGGATCACCCCTGGGGGCGGGACGGGCACGTGGGCGTTGCCATGAAGGCCTTGGCCCCACCCTCCGCCACCCACTCCAACCCTGGCGCTCCACAAGGTCTCCCGCAGTCCCTAGCCCGGTCCAGCTGGGCACAGGGCCCACTCTTTGCTCACCCACATTGCTCCCCTGCCTGGGGCGGGGTTTGGCCCCACCTCGTCTCTGCCCACCCTGACCACCTTTCCACTCAAGGAAGATCCCGCCCGTCCCGCCCACACTGAGCCCGCAGCATAGGCGCGGTCCCCGCCACCGCCACTTCGACGCATCAGCCTCGCCCACCGGGCTTCTGGCGGGTCTGGGCAGTAGCCCCGCCCCCTCCCAGCCCACAGACTCGCACCTCCCCCGTGCAGGTGGTTTCCTGGCCCACTGTCCTCAGCCCACTCGCTGGCCTTTATCTCTGTTTCACGTCCAGGACCCCACGCCCTGTCGGCGCTGCTTGGGCTACGGTCACTGTCCACCCGGGTCCCACGGAAATCTGTCTCTGTCCCCACCGCCGCTTGCCTTGGGAACGCGGCCCGAAGCCCAGGACCTGGTAGATGGGCGCAGGCGGGCGGTCGGCCGTGTCCTCGCCGCGGGTCACCATCGCCTCGCGCACGGCCGCCAGCCCATTGAGCACGACCACCGGCGTCCAGGCCAGCTGCAGGCTGAACACGTCCCCGAAGCGGCGCCGCAACTGCAGAGGGAGGGTCAGGGCCTCTTGTCAAGCCAGGATCACCCCAGACTACAGGTCCTAGTCCTATTTGAACCTTGGACGACCCCCGGGGCTACCAGGAGTGAGCAGGTGGAAGGAGGAGACCCAGCCTCCTGATCGTGGGGCGGGGGTGGGGGTCACACCTTCTGTGATGGAGGAACTCAGTTTGGATGCGTCACCCAGGTATGACCTTGCAAGAGTCACCAAAATTGCCGAGAGGCCCCAGTTAGCATCCCATTCCCAGATGATGGTCCATGCCGGTGAGCAGTGAGGCCCGAGGACCCACAGTGCAAAAGGTTTGAACCGGGTCACTGCACCCCCTTCATCCTCGATTTCGTGATTTAAACGGCACTCAGGACTAACTCATCTTCCATTCCCAAGGCCTTTCCTTCTGGTGTCAGCAGAAGGGACTTTGTACTCCATAACATATGTTGCCCAATGGGCTTGCATGCCCACTGCCAAGTCCAGCTCCACCTCCAGGCCCTTGCCCTACTCTTCCTTGGCCTTTGGAAAATCCAGTCCTTCATGCCATGTATAAATGTCCTTCCCCAGGACGTCCCCCAAACCTGCTTCCCCTTCTCAGCCTGGCTTCTGATCCAGCCTGTGGTTTAACCCACCACCCATGTTTGCTGGTGGTGGGGCATCCTCAGGACCTCTGCCGCCCTCCAGGACCTCCTCCCTCACCTGGTCGAAGCAGTATGGTGTGTTCTGGAAGTCCACATGCAGCAAGGTTGCCCAGCCCGGGCAGTGGCAGGGGACCTGGCGGGTAGCGTGCAGCCCAGCGTTGGTGCCGGTGCATCAGGTCCACCAGGAGCAGGAAGATGGCCACTATCATGGCCAGGGGCACCAGTGCTTCTAGCCCCATGGCTGCCTCACTACCAACTGGGCTCCTCTGGACACACCTGGCACCCCCACCCCACCAGGCACAGAGGACCAGGCAGGACACTCTCGGCACACCGAGCGCGTGACCCTTCCCTTATAAAGGGAGCTGATGATGGCCTTCGCCCTCTGCTGTGAGTGAACCTGCTGTGTTGACTGTGCTGCCAGTGGCAGAGTCAGGCCAGGGCAGGTATGGGCTGCTCCAGAGGTCCTTGCCGCTGCTTCCTGCTCCAGGCCCTTACCCAGGGTAGGGTGGTAGAAAGGCCTGGTCGGAGAAGTCACCCCCTCTCCCCACTCCAAGCTCCCCAAGCCCACACAGGCTTCTGGGATAACCAGGGTCTCAGTGGACCCGGCCATCCACCTCCCAGCTAGGCTCATACACCCTAATGTAGTCACAACCCCTCCTCCAGAACATGACCTTGCCCTTTCCCTACCCCCACCTGCCCACTCCAGAGTGACCTTCAGCACCCTTATCTGTCACTGGCACTTACCTGGGGCCTTAGAGCTCCTGATGATGAGTGGCATCATGGGCCTGGTCCCTTCACTTCACCTTGCACTCTTGACATGCACAGACGCTATGCACACACCTGATGGTGCACAGATCTCTTGTCCACTCCCAGACACTTGTCCACTTGTTCACACTTGCAGGGACACGATTACACATGCAGAAAATCACCCACACAAAGACAATATTCACACATACACAGACTCACACTGACACTCAGGGCACACATTCTCTCTCACACACACCAGTCACACACACATACAGACCCGGCACCAAGTACCCCACTTCCCAGCCATGCCCGAGGTTTCCTGGATGGGACCTCTCCTGTCCAGAGGCTGCTCCCGGTGAGCCTCAAAGCTGTCACATGGATCCCAGCTCAGCCCACATTCTGGGCTCTGGCCGGGCCATGACTTCCTGTTTGCAACAGGGCTGTTCCCAGAGCTCCCAGTTGGTAGCCTGAAGGCCCTTGCCCCAGCCTGTGACAGCATCCTCCAGGGCTGCCTGAGGGTCGTCATTCTCCACTGCTTCCTGGCCTCCATGTTTCTGATTAGAAATCTGGTGGAAACATTATGGAGGATCCTTTATTTAGGATATGTTGCTTTTTTATTTTTATTTTTTCTTTAGACAGGGTCTCACTCTGTTGCCCGGGCCGGAGTGCAGTGGCAGGATCATGGCTCACTGCAATCTCAACATCAAGTGGACCTCCTGCCTCCCAAGTAGCTGGGACTACAGGCACCACCGAGCCCAAATAATTTTTTTTTTGAGACGGAGTTTTGCTCTGTCGCCCAGGTGGGAGTGCAATGATGCGATCTCGGCTCACTGCAACCTCCACCTCCAGGGTTCAAGCGATTCTCCTGCCTCAGCCTCCCAAGTAGCTGGGATTACAGGTGCCCACCACCATGCCTGGCTGATTTTTTGTACAAGAAGTTTATAGAACACCAAGCAGATTTAACCCAAAGAAGACGACCTCAAGGCATCTGATAATTAAACTCCGAAAGGTCAAGGATAAAGAAAGGATCCTAAAAGCAGCAAGAGAAAAGAAACAAATAACATGCAGTAGAGCTCCAATACATGACATGGGGCAGCCACCTTTCCAGTGGAAACCTTACAGGCCAGGGGGGAGTGGCATGACATATTTAAAGTGCTGAAGGAAAAAAAACTTTTAGCCTAGAATAACGTATCTGGCAAAAATATCCTTCCAACAGGAAGGAGAAATAAAGACCTTCCCAGACAAACAAAAGCTGCGAGATTTCATCAACACCAGACCTATATCCCACAAGAAATGCTAAAGGGAGTTTTTCAATCTGAAAAAAAAAAGGATATTAATGAGCAAGAAGAAATCATCTAAAGGTACAAAACTCACTGGTAATAGTAAGCACACAGAAAAACAGAGTATTATAATACTGTAATTGTGGTGTGTAAACTACTCTTATTTTAATTAGACTAAATGATGAACCAATCAAAAATAATAAGTACTTTTCAAGACAGACAGTACAGTAAGACATAAAGAGGCCGGACCCGGTGGCTCACGCAGGTAATCCCAGCACTTTGTAAGGCTGAGGTGGGTGGATCACCTGAGGGCAGGAGTTCGAGACAAGCCTGGCCAACATGGTGAAACCCCATCTCTACTAAAAATACAAAAAATTTAGCTGGGCATGGTGGTGGGCGCCTGCTACCCAGGAGGCTGAGGCAGGAGAATCGGTTGAACCTGGGAAGTGGAGGTTACAGTGAGCTGAGATCGTGCCACTGCACTCTAGCCTGGGCAACAGAGCAAGACTTTATCTCAAAAACAAAAAAAGAGAAACAACAAAAAGTTAAAAAGCACTAAGATGAACTTAAAGTGTAGAGTTTTTATTAGTCTTCCTTTTGCTTTATGTTTGTTTACACAATCAGTGTTGTCATCCGTTTAAAATAATGAGTTATAAGATAATATTTGCAAGCCTCACGGCAACCTCAAATCAAAAAGCACACAATAAGTGAGACTGTGTCTCAAAAAGAAAAGAAGAAAAAACACACAATGGATACACACACACAAAAAAGCAAGAAATTAAATCATACCACCAGAGAAAATCACCTTCATTAAAAGGAAGACAAGGAAAAAAAAAAAAAAAAAAAAAAAAAAGAGAAGACCACAAAACAGTGAGAAAAGAAATAACAAAATAGCAGGAGTAAGTCCCTGCTTAGCAATAATAACATTGAATGTAAATGGACTAAACTCTCCAATACAAAGACACAGAGTGGCTGAATGGATGAAAAAGCAAAGCTCAATGCTCTTTTGTCTAGAAGAAACACACTTCACCTGTAAAGATACACATGGACTGAAAATAAAGGGATGGAAAAAGATACTCCATGCCAATGGAAAACAAAAAAGAGCAGGAGTAGCAATACTTAGACAGAACAGATTTTAAAACAAAAACTGTAAGAGGAGGCCGGGTGTGGTGGCTCACGCCTGTAATCCCAGCACTTTGGGAGGCCAAGACGGGCGGATCACGAGGTCAGGAGATTGAGACTATCCTGGCTAACATGGTGAAACCCCGTCTCTACTAAAAATACAAAAAATTAGCCAGGCGTGGTGGCGGGCGCCTGTAGTCCCAGCTACTCAGGAGGCTGAGGCAGGAGAATGGCGTCAACCTGGGAGGCGAAGCTTGCAGTGAGCCAAGATCGCGCCACTGCACTCCAGCCTGGGTGACAGAGCGAGACTCCGTCTCCAAAACAAAACAAACAAACAACAACAACCAAAAAAACTGTAAGAGGAGACAAAGAAGGTCATCCAGCAACAGAATATAACAATTGTAAATACATATGCACACAACACTGGAGCACGTAAAGCAAATGTTATTGGAGCCCAAGAGAGACGTTAACGCAATAACAGCTAAAGACGTCAACACCCCACATTCAGCATTGGACGGGTGTCCCAGATGGAAACCCAATAAGAAAACATTAGACTTAATCTGCACTACAAAAGAAATGGACCTACTAGATACTTACAGAACACTTCGTCTAAAGTCTGCAGAATACACATTCTTCTCCTCAGCACATGGATCATTCTCAAGGATACACCATATGTTAGGTCACAAAGCAAGTCTTAAAACATTACAAATGTTAAAATAATATCAAGCATCTTCTCTGACCACAACAGAATAAAAGTGGAAATCAACAACAAGAGGAATTCTGGAAACTATACATACACGTGAAAATTAAACAATATGGTCCGGAATGGCCAGTGGTTCAATGAAGAAATTAGGAAGGAAATTTGGCTGGGCACAGTAGCTTACACCTGTAATCCCAGCACTCTGGGGGGCTGAGGCAGTCAGATGACCTGAGATAGGGAGTTCGAAAGCAGCCTGGCCAACATGGTGAAACTCCGTCTCTACAAAAAATACAAAAATTAGCAAAGCATGGTGGCATGTGCCTGCAGTCCCAGCTACTAGGGAGGCTGAGATGGGAGGATTGCTTGAACCCAGGAAGTCAAGGCTGCAGTGAGCCCTGATGGCATCACTGCACTCCAGCCTCGGTGACAGAGCAAGACCCTGTCTCAAGAAAACACACACACACACACACACACACACACACACACAGATGCTCAAACTAATATCATTTTGCTGTTAGAGCCAAGAGGGGTGGCCTGTGTAGTAAAAAGTGGGGAAGTCATTCCTTGCACAATGCAAGCCACTGGACCAAGAGTCCAAACTGACTCTTGACAGGAGGCTGGGAGATATCTGCTAAGGCCTTGGAATGTCCTGCCTGAAATAGTGTCTTTGTACATAGCTAGGGCCTTGGACCGTACAACACAGTTTATGCCAACAATGTGATCGAGGGTGGGGCCGTCAGGCCTGTATCCATCTGACTTCAGGAGGGGCTGGAGACTGAGTAACTGAGGTCAGCCATGCTGCGGGGGCTCAAGCCTAGGATGACCAACTCCCAACAAAAACCATGGACACCAAGGCCCAGGTGAGCTTCCGTGGCTGGCAGGGCTCTCTGCTGCCTCACTTACTGTTGGGGGAGAATTAAGCACTGCCTGTAGGAGTCCACCAGAAAAGAGAGCTGCAGCCTTGGCCTGGTCATTCTGGACTCTGGTCCCTGTGCCTTTCATCTTTGCTGACTTTAATCTGTACCCTTCTCTGTAATAAACTGTTAACAGGGAGAATAACAGCTTTTCTAGGGCTGTGAGACCTTCTAGAAATCACTGAACCTGAGGGTGGTCTGGGGGAGCACAACACAGTCTCCCACCCTAGCCAGGGAATGGGTTGATTCTTGGCATATGCCTATTCATATCCACCCCAGCCAAGACTTACGCATGGACTTTGTCACCAAGCCAGGCAGCCAGTGATGGGTCTCTGGGCGTGACGTGGGGGCAGGCTGTTTCCTGCTGAGAATCACTATGCCTGTATCTCAAGTAAAGTCAGGCGTCCAGGTAAGAGTGAATGAGGTGAGGCTGGTCTCGGTGGCTCACGCCTGTAATCCCAGCACTTTGGGAGGCTGAGGCTGGTGGTCACGTGAAGTCAGGAGTTTGAAACCAGACTGGCCAACATGGCGAAACCCATCACTACTAAAAAGACAAAAATGAGCCGGGGGTGGTACCCGGTGCCTGTAATCCCAGCTACTCAGGAAGCTGAGGCACGAGAATCGCTTGAACTCTGGAGGCGGAGGTTGCAGTGAGCTGAGATTGCACCACTGCACTCCAGCCTGGGTGACAGAGTAGGCTCCATCTCAAAAAAAAAAAAAAAAAAATGAATGAATGAGGTGAGGGGTGAGGGGTGAGGGGTGAGCACTGACATCAGGCAGGTGACTGACGACCCAACACAACCAGGACCTTGGCAGGGGCCCAGACTGGATACAGAAACCAAGTGGGAGCCACTAGACTAATTTATTGTACAACAGGGTCCCAGCTGAGGAGCAACTCTAGCGGGGCACAGCACAAAGCTCATAGGGGGATGGCGTCACCAGAAAGCCGACGACACGAGAGTGGCTGGGCCGGGGCTGTCCGGTGGGCACCGAGAAGCTGAAGTGCTGCAGCAGGGAGGTGAAGAAGAGGAAGAGCTCTATGCGGGCCAGGGGCTCCCCGAGGCATGCACGGCGGCCTGTGGGGAGGGGAGGGGCGTCAGTGAGCCTGGCTCCCGGGTGATACCCCTGCAAGACTCCACGGAAGGGGACAGGGAGCCGGGCTCCCCACAGGCACCTGCTGAGAAAGGCAGGAAGGCCTCCAGCTTCACAAAGTGGCCCTGGGCATCCAGGAAGTGTTCGGGGTGGAAGCGGAAGGGCTTCTCCCAGACGGCCTCATCCTTCAGCACCGATGACAGGTTGGTGAAGAGCATCATCCCCTGGGCAGGAGATGCAGGGTGAGAGTGGGGACTGGACTCTAGGATGCTGGGACCCCCAAGCACACAGGGGACACACACTGCCTGGCACACAGCTGGACTCTGTCAACTAGTCCTGTGCCCGAGAAGCTCCAGAGCACCCTCTCCGACCCCACGGCAGGGCGCAGTCACACCTCCTGGGAGCGCCCACGCTACCCCCTCTCCCTACAGGTATTGGGGTCCTCCAACATTCTGGCAGGTCCTGGTCTGCCTTCCCCACTAGACTGGGGCTCTGGATGGACAGGCCAGCCCTGCCTATACTCTGCACCCCACACCCAGGCTGGGACAGTCGATGTGGTGGCATTGAGGACTGGGTGGCCAGGGTTCCTAGACTGGGCCCACCTGGCAGTGGCCATGCTGGGGCTATCACCAGGGGCTGGTGCTGAGCTGGGGTGAGGAGGGTGCCAGGCCTACCTTAGGGATGCGGAAGCCCTGTACTTCGATGTCACGGGATGTCATATGGGTCACACCCAGGGGGACGATGTCCCCAAAGCGCTGCACCTCGTGAATCACGGCAGTGGTGCAGGGCATGCGAGCCTGGTCACCCATCTCTGGTCACCACACCTGCCCTATCACGTTGTCGATCTGTTGGACACGGCCTGGACAGACACGCGTCCCCACAATGGGTCAGCACCCAGGGGACCAGCCCTGACACTCTCCTGCCTCCTGTGTTGGAGGAGGTTAGGCTTACAGGAACCTGGCCAAGCCTGTGCTTGGAGTCCCGGGTGTCCCAGCTAAGCTCAGGGGCCCCCACCTGTACCCTTCCTCCCTTGCCCCCTGCACTGGGCCCCAGCTGGGCTCACGCTGCACATCCGGGCGTAGGATCATGAGCAGGAGGCCCCAGGCCAGCGTGATCGAGGTGGTCACCATCCCGGCAAAGAACAGGTCAGCCACCACCATGCGCAGGTTCTCATCATTGAAGCTGCTCTCAGGGTTCCCCTTGGCCTGAGCAGGGCTGAGAGGGTACTCAGGGGACAGAACGGGAAAGCCCCCAAATGACCTCCACATTCTGCACCTGTCAGCCCAGGTGCCACTTGCCAAGTGATCCAATGGACCCACCTTTTGCCTGCCTCATTCCTCCCGGACGCTCAACCCACCACCCCTGGTCCCTACCGTGTCAGCCACTCTCACCTTCTCCTTCTCTGCCAGGAAGGCCTCAGTCAGGTCTCGGGGTGGCTAGGCTGGGTCCCAGATCATTCTGTGCTCGGTCAGCAGCTCATCCAGCTGGGTCAGGAAAGCCTTTTGGGAGCGTAGGACCTTGCCAGCCAGCCCTGGGATGCGCAGGAGGAGGGGGACAACATTCAGCATCTACAGCTGACACAGAACGGGGTCTCAATCCCTCCTGTGCTCTGCGTTCACCTGGACCAGTCTCAGGCCCCAGCTGCCTCCAGGGAAGACCCAGGGCCTACCTGTCCCCACCACTCACCTCCCCAAGTCCCTCCCCAAGTGCCAGCCTCCACCCTCTCTCCTTGCCCTGGGCTGCCAGAGGAGAAACCTAAAAATCAAAATCTCCAATGTGGACAGGAGGCACAGGGTCCTTGGCCTTTCTTGGTGCCCCCTGACCCGGGCACACCTCTCCCACGACCGTATCTGAGATGTCTCCTCCTCCTCAAGGCCCTTCCTCTAGCAGTGAGCTCTTCTGGAATGTCCTTTCCCAAACCACTCTATGCAAACCCTGCTCCTTGGAGGTCCGGCTGCAGTCCCGGCACCTCTCAGGAGCTCGCCCTGCAGAGACCCTGCGGTCCCTCGCTCCACATCTCTCACAGAAAGCCCAGCTCCTCCTTCAATCCCTTCTGAGCTAGGTCCAGTAGCCTGAGGAAGCGAGGGTCGTCGTACTCGAAGCGGCACCCGCAGGTGAGGGAGGCGATCACGTTGCTCGCCGCTTTGTTCAGGAGGCCGTTGGGGTGAAAGGGGCGTCCTGGGGGCGGGAGATGCGGGTCAGGGGTCGCCTTCCCAGTCCTCCACCTTCCCAGTTCCCGCTTTGTGCCCCTCTGCCCATCACCCACTGGCTTGGTCGGCGAAGGCGGCACAGAGGCAGGCGGCCTCCTCGGTCACCCACCGCTCCAGGGACTTCTTGCCCAGGCCCAAGTTGCGCAAGGTGGACACGGAGAAGCGCCTCTGCTCGCGCCACGCGTGTCCGTAGTGTGCCAGAAACACCCCTGGGGGCGGGACGGACACATGGGCGTGGTCATGGAGGCCTTGGCCCCGCCCTCCGCCGCCCACTCCAACCCTGTGCTTTTCCTGGTCTCCCGCAGTCCCTGGCCCTGTCCAGCTGGGCACAGGGCCTGCTCTTTGCTCACTCACCTTGCTTGGGTCTTGGCCCCACCTTGGCTCTTCCGACCCTGACTGCCTTTCCACTCAGGGAAGATCCCGCCCGTCCCGCCCCGCCCATACTGAGCCCACAGCAGAGTCCATCCCGGCTTCTAGACACCCGCTTCCAGCTGGGAAAGGCGCCAGCTCCGCCCACCCGGTTCCTGGTGGGTCTCGGCAGTTGCCCCGCCCACTCACAAGCCCCTCTTCCTCCCGCCCACAGACTCGCACCTCCCCAATGGAAGTGGTTTCCTGGCTCGCTGTCCCCAACCCACTCACTGGCCCACAACCCCGCGCCCTCTCAGCCCAGCTTGGGCTACGGTCACCGCCCACCCAGGACCCACGGAAACGCAGTCTCTGTCCCCCACCGCCGCTTGCCTTGGGAGCGCGGCCCGATGCCCAGGACCTGGTAGATGGGCGCAGGCGGGCGGTCGGCGGTGTCCTCGCCGCAGGTCACCAGAGCCTCACGCACGGCCGCCAGCCCATTGAGCACGACCACCGGCATCCAGGCCAGCTGCAGGCTGAACACGTCCCCAAAGCGGTGCCGCAGCTGTAGAGGGAGGGTCAGGGCCTCCGTTGGGTCAGGGCCTCCATCAGGCCAGGGTCCCCCCAGACTGCAGGTCCTAGTCCTATTTGAACCTTAGACGACCCTCGGGGCTACCAGGAGTGAGCAGGTGGAAGGAGGAGACCCAGCCTCCCGATCCTGGGGCGGGGATGGGGTCACACCTTCTGTGATGGAGGAACTCAGTTTGGATGCGTCACCCAGGTATGACCTTGCAAGAGTCACCAAAATTGCCGAGAGGCCCCAGTTAGCATCCCATTCCCAGATGATGGTCCATGCCGGTGAGCAGTGAGGCCCGAGGACCCACAGTGCAAAAGGTTTGAACCGGGTCCACTATATCCCTTCATCCTTGATTTCTAACTTACTCATTTATTTAGACCATGTCTGGCTCTGTCACCCAGGCTGGAGCGCAATGGCGCGATCTTGGCTCACTGCAACCTCCACCTCCCGGGTTCAAGCAATTCACCTGCCTCAGCCTCCCATGTAGCTGGGATTACAGGTGCCCACCACCGTGCCCCGCTAATTTTTGTATTTTTAGTAGAGGCAGGGTTTCACCATGTTGGCCAGGCTGGTCTCGAACTCCTGACCTTGTGATCCCCCCACCTTGGTCTCCCAAGATGCTGGGATTACAGGTGTGAGCCACCGCGCCCAGCCGTTGATTTTTTTTTTTTTTTTTTTTTTTTTTTTTTTTGAGACAGAGTCTCGCTCTGTCGCCCAGACTGGAGTGTAATGGTGTGTTCTCAGCTCACTTCAAGCTCTGCCTCATGGGTTCATGCCATTCTCCTGCCTCAGCCTCCCAAGTAGCTGGGACTACAGGTGCCCACCACCTCGCCTGGCTAATTGGTTTGTATCTTTAGTAGAGACGGGTTTCATTGTGTTAGCCAGGATGGTCTCGATCTCCTAACCTCATGATCCGCCCGCCTTAGCCTCCCAAAGGGCCGGGATTACAGGCGTGAGCCACCGCGCCCGGCCTGATTTCTTATTCGTTTATTTAGACATTGTCTGGCTGTGTCACCGAGGTTGCAAGGCAATGGCACAATCTCCACTCACTACAACCTCTGCCTCCTAAGTTCAAGCAATTCTCCTGCCTCAGCCTCCCAAGTAGCTGGGATTGCAGGCGTGCACCACTGTGCCCAGCTCATTTTTTGTATGTTTAGTAGAGACCGGTTTTTGCCATGTTGGCCAGACTCATCTGGAACCCCTGACCTCAGGTGATCCGCCCACCTTGGCTTCCTTAAGTGCTGGGATTATAGGCGTGAGCCACCACGCACAGCCTGATTTCCTGATTTAAACGGCACACAGGACCCTGACTCGTCTTCCATTCCCAAGGCCTTTCCTTCTGGTGTCAGCAGAGGGGACTTTGTGCTCCTAACATATGCTGCCCAATGGGCTTGCACGCCCACTGCCAAGTCCAGCTCCACCTCCAGGCCCTTGCCCTACTCTTCCTTGGCCTTTGGAAAATCCCATCTTTCATGCCATGCATAAATGCCCTCCCCCAGGAAGTCCCTCAAATCTGCTTCCCCTTCTCAGCCTGGCTTCTTGTCCAGACTGTGGCTCCACCCACCACCCATGTTTGCTGGTGGTGGGGGATCCTCAGGACCTCCTCCCTCACCTGGTTGAAGGTGTATATGTTCTGGAAGTCCACATGCAGCAAGTTGCCCAGCCCGGGCAGTGGCAGGGGGCCTGGCGGGTAGCGTGCAGTCCAGCGTTGGTGCTGCTGCATCAGGTCCACCAGGAGCAGGAAGATGGCCACTGTCACTGCCAGGGGCACCAGTGCATCCAGCCCCATGGCTGCCTCACTGCCCATTGGGCTCCTCTGGACACACCTGGCACCTCCACCCCACCAGGCACAGAGGACCAGGCAGGACACTCTCAGCACACCCAGTGCATGACCGTTCCCTTATAAAGGGAGCTGATGATGGCCTTTGCCTTCTGCTGTGAGCCAACCTGCTGTGTTGACTGTGCTGCCAGTGGGTGCAGGGTCAGGCCAGGGCGGGTATGGGCTGCTGCAGAGGTCCTTGCCCCTGCTCGCTCTAGTTGCCTACCCAGATTAGGGTGGTGGGCGAGAGGTGGCCTGGCATGGGAGCTCCACCCAAGTTGGAGGTATGGATTGTACTGGGTGCTGGGCTGTGTACTGGGAGCATGGTGGTAAGGCTGTGAGTCAATGCCCCAACGTAATGATGACCACGGGGAGTAGGAAGGTAACATAGCTGACATGACAAGCCAGCAGTGCCATGAGGGTCCATGGGGACGTTGTCCCAGGCTGGAACAGGACTTTCTGGGAAGGATTCATGGAGAACTTTGTCTAGCTGACTGAGGGGCTGCCTAGCACTGTAGGCCACGGCACTGGCAGTGGGACCAACCCACCCCTGGAATTTCCTGTGCAGGTGGCCTGAGGGGCAGCAGGAGGCCAGCAGCTGGAGCCTGGGTCTTTTCAGGTCTGGATGAAGACTGGATCTGGGGAACAAAAGGCAGGGAGAACAGTTTATTTAAAATTTAAAAATATATATATATTTTTTAGAGACAAGATCTTGCTCTGTTGCCCAGGCTGGAGTGCAGAGCTGTGATCATAGCTCACTCAAACTCCTGTGCTCAATCAAGAGATCCTATTTTAGCGTCCCGAGTAGCTGGAACTACAGGTGCACATCATTACGCTCGGCTAATTTTTTTGTTGAGATGGGTCCTCACTATGTTGCCCACGCTGGTCTGGAACTCCTGGCTTCAAGTGATCCTCCTGCCTTGGCCTCCCAAAGTGTTGGAAATAGAGGCATGAGCCACCTGGCCCAACAGAAGTTTTGAAGCTACTCAACTGACAGAGAGAGCAAGACCCATGCCTATCTGGGGACTTCTCAGATCTGGCTTGTGGTCTCCCAAACTGGCCTCAGCTGAATGAATGTTCCTGTCCTACATGGCAGCACTGTTCTATTTGGGACTGTGAGAGAATCAAGGTGCAGGGACAGCAGGATGGTCTGGGTGCTTGTTACATGGTGGCCCTTTATACATTACCTGTATGCACTCTTGGCCTTTTGAGGTGTCAGGCCCTCCCCAAGCAGTCATCATGAATCATGATGGGGGTGTGAAGGGCAGGGACAGGCATGCCTGCAATGTGGGCAGTGTCCTCCCGAGTGCCCTCCTTACCAGCCAGAGGCCTGTAATTCAAGATATGGCAGCATGAGGAAAACATTTAATAACAATGCCTGTGGCCTTTTCCAATCATTGTGCACCTGTGGCTTCCATTGATCGGGCACTTATGTGCCAGAAACTGCTGGTCAGACTGTGTGCTCTAGCTCATTAATCCTCCCACAGCCCCCTAAGGAGGTGGTTTTATGGTCCCCAAGGCACAGAGACTGAGGCTCAGAGATCACATAACAAGGTTCAAGTCACACAGCGGTGTTAGGAGTCCACATCCAATGTGTATGCTGAGCTACTATTCTATACTGTTTGGACATTACATTCTATTAATGGTCAGTATAGATGTTTCTGGGATTTATTATTTTTAGGAAACAGATCCAACCTGCCTTCCCTGAACAGTGGTACTGCTGTGTCATGGTAAAAAGTGCACTGTGCCCTGGCAGGCCCTATGGACGTTGCCAAGTGAGATGGTGTGAAAATATGTCAGCAAGTGGTAGACTAGGAAACTGCGGGCTCTCGTTCTCCTAGAGAGCTCAATGTTAAAGCTATAGGAGACCAAAACATCGTGAGAATTCTAGAAACTAGTTAGGATGCTGCAATGCCAGCTAGTGCAGAGCCAGGGAGGGACTGCACTGGGAAGGGTAGTCAAGTTGGAGCATTTTGCTTGTTCTTGCCCTTCCCCCTGCCAGGCATAGCAATGCTACTGGGAGAGACCCTCCAATTCCCAGCTCCTCCCATGGGATGGGTTTCTGCTGGGTCCGACTCAAGAGTGCTGAGTGGTGGGGTCTGTCTGCCCTCAGAGCAGCACCTCTGCGTTTCCACAGCTGCAAGGGGACGGGGTTATGGGCAGTGGAATAGTTGTGTCTGGGTATCCTGGAGGGGATTGGTGCCAGGACCCCCGGTAAATACCAAAACCCAAGGATGCTCAGGTTCCTTATGTAAAATGGCATAGTATACCTATGCAAATGCTCCTGTATACTTTAAATCATCTCTAGATTATTTGTAATGCCTAATACAGTGTAAATGCTACATAAATAGTTGCTATACTGTACTGCTCTTATTTGTATTTTTAGTTGTTATACTTTCTCAAGTTATCTTTGATGTGTGGTTGAATTTGTGGATGCGGAGCCTGTGGGTATCGAGGGCTGCTTGTACCCTAGAAACAGAAATGGAAAGCTCCAGGGGCAGGGCCAGCCTGCAGGGGGGCAGTTTAATGGGTAAAGCTTCCGTTTTATAAAATGAAAAATTCTGGAGATTGGTTGCACAACAATCTGAACACATTTCCCACTAAACTGTACTGTGACTGTTATGATGGTACATTTTTTTAACCACAATTTAAAAACTTTATGAGTATTAAAAAAATAAATGGCTATATACACACCTATTAGAATGGCTTAAATCCAGAACACTGACAACACCAAATGCTGGCAAGGATGTGGAGCATCAGGAACTCATTCATTGCTGGTGGGAGTACAAAATGGTACAGACACTTTGGAAGAAAGTTTGGCAATTTCTTTTCCTTTTCTCAGTTTTTTTTTTTTTTTTTTTTTTGAGACAGAGTCTCACTCACTCTGTCACCCAGGCTAGGAGTGCAGTGGCACGATGATCTCAGCTCACTGGAACCTTTGCCTCCTGCGTTCAAGCAATCCTCCCACCTCAGCCTCCCGTTTAGCTGGGACTGCAGGCGTGAGCCACCATGCCTGGCTGATTTTTGTATTTTTAGTAGAGACAGGGTTTCACCATGTTGGCCAGGCTGGTCTCAAACTCCTGACCTCAGGTGATCCAGACAGTTTGGCAATTTCTTACAAAACTAGACATACTCTTACCATACAATCCACCAATCGTGCTTCCTGTACTTACCCAAAGGAGTTGAGGCCTTATGTCCACACAAAAACCTGCAAAGGGATGTTTACAGCAGCTTCATTTGTAATTGTCAAAACTTGAAAGCAACCAAGATGTTCTTCAGCAGTTGAATGGATAAACTGTGGTACAGCCAGACAATGGAATTATTTATCACTAAAAAGAAACAAGCTATCAAGTCATGAAAAGACACGGGTGAACCTTAAATGCACATTACTAAGTGAATGAAGCCAATCTAAAAAAGGCTACCTACTATCTAATCTCAACTATATGATACTTTGGAAAAGGCAAAACTTTGCAGACAGTAAAAGGCTCAGCGGTGAGGGACTGGGGCTAAGGAGGAATGAACAGTGGGACACGGAGGATCCCTGGAGCAGTGAAACTACTCTGGATCATGGTGCGTCCTCGTCTTTTTGAGACAGGATTTTGCTGTCACCCAGGCTGAAGTGTGGTGGCGCGATCACGACTCACTGTAGCCTCGACCTCCTGGGCTCAAGTGATCCTCCCATCTCCGCCTCCCAAGTAGCTGAGACTACAGGCATGCACCATCATGCCTGGCTAATTTTTGTATTTTTATGTAGAGATGGGGTTTCGCCATGTTGCCCAGGCTGTTCTCGAACTCAAGCGATACACCCACCTGAGCCTCCCAAAATGCTGGGATTATAGGCGAGAGCCACCACGCCCTGCCAGATCCAGGTCTTTATACATTTGTCAAAGGCCATAAAATGTACACCACCGGGAGTGGCCCCTAGTATAAACTATGGACTTTGGGTGAAAACAGTATGCCAACTCTGGTTGGGATGTTGATAGAGGGAAAGGTATGCATACGGGGGGAAGGGGTTATATGGGAACTGTCTGTACCGTCAGCTTAATCCTTCTGTGAACATAAAACTACTTTAAAAAAATCAATTAAGACAAACACTAAAGGAACTAAAAGGCACTTGAGCAGTTGAGGAGAACTGCAGAAGCCAGAAACTGGAGTCAGGAGGCATGCGTGTATCACTGCCACTCCCCAGTGAAGGTCATTACTGAAGCCAATTTAAGGAAAGACCTAGAACAATCACAAGTGCTCCACTCAGGCAAATCAAAAGGGGACAAAAGAATAAAAGACAAAATGACAAACATTTGCTGTCAGGAAAATATTTTCCTCAAGATACATATTTTTCAAGTTTTGTGGTTTAGCCCTTGACACCTGAAGTCTATCCATTTCATTTTAACTGTATTAATGCCAAGTCAAGACCAGAATGAGACAACAACTAGCTCAAAAAAGCCATCATTTCTGTGCAGGTCCTGTTCAGTTGCCTAAGCTTGGTCCTACGGCCGGCACGGCGCACCCACCCACACCTCCATCCTGGCGGAGTGAAATGAGAAATGGACTGCTTGATGTAGCCATTAAAATACAATTAATCTGCCATTTCTGCTGCCCCAAATTGATGAACACAGAACTCATTTATAATTGCTTATTTCTGCTTCACAATATTCCTTCCAGTATTTCCATTCTCTAAAAAAGTCCATTAACATTCCATTATTTTTTTATAACCCTTAATGTTGATTGGAAATATGTCTTCATATCAACTTGAGTAAATCTGACTGTCCCCATACACTGGCCACACTCCACCTGCCCAGAGGAGTGGCAGAAGAACCCTATATTTTGTTTGCTTCCCGGCTGCGTGGCCATCGAGAGGCCAGGAATGGGACAGACAGGTTCTGATCATGGCCTCCTCTGGAGAACCAGAGCTACCCTTTGGGGGTTAGAATGGGAGAAGGAAGAGACGCATTCACTTTAAAGTAAACAGAAGAGGAAACAAGGTTAAAATGAAGTTTATTATTTTTTTGATTTTTTGATTTTTTTTGTTTTTTGTTTTTTTAAATAAAACTGTTTGTGAAACAGCTATTTTATCCCCATGGCAGAGTGACCCCTGAAAGATGCACTAACCCCTTCTTAAGGCCATAACAAGATTTTTTTGTACTTTTTTCTTTTTTTAAAACTCAGATATTTAAAAATTATACAATTTACAAAACAAAACAACACAACATAAAGAATCACGTAGCATGGGGCTGCCTATCTGACAGGTCCTCTTTTCCTTTATAAAAATGAAAGCAAAAAGAAAAAGGGGTTAAATGGGTGTTCCTGGTCAGCTTAACCCACTCTGATCACAGCGACAGTCCCTCCCCGTCCCTGCCTACAGCTCACACTGCCAGCTCTGGCAACACAGGCCTGGACCTCCTCCCATCCCCACGGGTCCCTGTGGGTCAGGGCACAGCTGCCTGGAATGTGCTGAGGACAGGGGGCCCCAGAGGAGGGTCATCCCTTGATTTTGCTGCTGCTGTGTACACTTGATGGGGTCCTTGAGGTCCTCACCAGCCACAGTGACCCAGGACACAGCTATGACCTCAGGCATCTGCCAATTTCACCCCCAAAAAGAAAAAATTAAAAAAAAAAAACCATAAATAAATAGTGTTTCTGGAAATGAAAAAAAATTTATTTTTGTGTTTAAACATCATTCCCCTACTCTTGAAAACATGGACCATCCCTGTATTTCCCCCTCCCCCAAAACCTTCCCACTTTGAGACAAATTAATGACAAAAGGATGGTTCTGCTGTGGTTTGCTTTTTCAATCCTGGGTCTAGTGTTTTCTGAACTGGTGTGAGACAGGCTAAAGATCAACGCCACACACACACCCCGTCCTTCATGAGATGAGGGTTTGTTCAGTTCAATCTCACATTTAAATTTCACTTGTCATCGGAACAAATTTGGAGATCTTTAACGAGATAATTTTAAAACAGAATCAAAAGGGATAGCGCACCTTTCATTTAAACAAAGTCTTTCCAGACTAAAAATAGATTTATATATATATATTTATCCCTCCCTTTTAATTCCCCCCACCCTTTCCCCATCATCCCACCCCTCCCCCCTCCCCCCACATTGTCACTATGGAGATTGTGTCCATGGAAACAGCCATTCCAACGTCTTGGGTCTTTCTTTCCTGTGGTGTCACTGGTTTGAGTGTGATGTGAGAACTTAAGGAAGTGCTGGCATGGGCAGGCACGCGGGCGGGGCGGGGCGGGGCAGGGCAGGGTGTGGCTGCACGGTAGGACGATTTCCATTCCATCACGAGTGTCCACCACCTTCTCATCTCCACAGTCTCACCTGGAAGACAAGGGACACACAGTGAAGGCCAGGAGCCTCCACAGGGTCCACCACCAACAGCCGCTGTTCCGTGGTACCCCTGGGAGCTTTCAGCAGGGAGCCTGCACTCACGCCCCTCTGCAGATGTGCTGCTGATATGGGACACACCCGAGACCAATGCCAGGGCCACTGTGTGGCTCTGGATCTGGAATGTGATTAAAGGCAGCAATGACCTAGTGGGGGTGCTGGGGTTGGACTCTGAGGGCTCCTCAGGGCATGTCTGCCTTCCTAGTGCATAAAGGAACCAGTACAGCAGAGAACTCCCTGACCTCAGGGCAGGCCCCACTTGTGGGGCAGCTGGTGGGGCTTTGCCAGTGTCAGGACCCCAGTTGTGACTGAAACCTACAGTACCTGGTCAATCTGTGGAAGAAACTTCTCGAAGTCCAGCCTTTTAGGACAGTTTCACAGCTGCCTCTAGTCAACACAGCTAGTTGTTTGTTTTTGAGACAAGACATCGCTCTGTCGCCTTGGCTCCCTGCAGCCTTGACCTCCTGGGCTCAAGCAATCCTCCCACCTCAGCCTTCCAAGTAGCTGGGACTACAGGTACACGCCACCATGCTTGGCTAATGACAGTCTTTTTTTTTTTTTTTTTTTTTTTTTTTTTTGAGACAGTCTTGCTCTATTGCCCAGACTGGAGTGTAGTGGTGTGCTCTTGGCTCACTGCAGCCTCTGCCCCCTGGGTTCAAGTGATTCTTGTGCCTCAGCCTCCCAAATAGCTGGGATCACAGGTGCACGCCACCACACCCGGCTAATTTTTGTATTTTTAGGAGAGATGTGGTTTTGCCATGTTAGGCTGGTCTAGAACTCCTGGCCCCAGCTGATCTGCCCACCTCGGCCTCCCAAAGTGTTGGGATTACAGGCGTGAGCCACTACACCTGGCCCACAGTCAGTTCTTCATGCTTAAAAAGAACACTCTTCCCATGGCCTCTAACAGGGAGGGCAGGTTTTCTGAGGCTCAGACAGAGCTGGACTATGTTAATCCTTTCGACCTCTCAGGAACCTGAGACCCCTAGGTCTCCCATCCCCAGGCTGGAGGGCTTCTCTCCTCTTCCAGCCCATGTGCAGAAGGGGATTCTGATGGCCCACGTAGGACAGATGGATTGTACCAAAGGTCCCTGTGGAACGCTTCATGGGCCATCTGATGTGGAAAGGTCTCAAAGACAAACAGCAGTTTCCTAGGAATCAGTCCAGTAAAATTTCACCAGAAGCCAGAAGTGGTGGCAGCCTTGCCCCTCCTTCACTTGCTATCTGCCAATCACTGTGCTTAAGACTGTCACTGGGGTCACCTAACTGCTTCCTCAAGACCAATTTGGTGCCCTCCCCTGACAAACCCCAAGAACCCAAGTGTCACCAGCCCTTTCTGCTTCCATAAAGTTCACACACGCAGAACTGCTAAGGCGGCTGGGGCCTGCGGGAGCTAAGATTGAGCTGTTCCCAAGCACGTACATGCACATGCTCTTGCCCAAGGAGGTTCCTGACTACTTGGCAGAAAACACCAATAAGCAGGAACACACACAGAGGCCATGGCACAACATCACCACAGACAAGTAAAAGCAAGCCCTGGGAATGCAGGCCAGCAGTTGAGCTAATGGGCACCTACCTCCAAGAACACAGAAGGGTGTCATCTTGTTGGGGCTGCAGGATGCCCGTGTGAATCAAGGCCAATGCCCACACGTACCCTGCCAGGCTCTGCTCAAGGAGGGGACAGGGCAGGGTTTGCCCTCTTTACCAATACACAGCAGTCTTGGGCCTGCACCCCAATCTTGCTCATTACTCAGAAGAACAGGACCCCACACCAGCTCCCCAGTGAAGAATGAAGCACATGTCAGCAGCCAGGGTCTGCCTGGCCAGTTGGCTCTGCGAGCTGCTACTTGTGGGCCCCTCCCTGGGGCGCGTGGTGGCCCAGGCAGCGGCAGTTCCTCAGCACCTGCAGCCTGGGGCTCTGCCCTCTATAGCCTTCGTGTTCCTCAGGTCTGATGACTAGACCAGCCCAAACACACGATATCCTGAATGTAATGGGACCCTAACTTTTCAAGAGTTACTTTAAAAAAGTTGTTCCTTCAGTAGGGAAATTAGGAAGGAAGGAAAATTCTCTAAGCACTATGTGCCAGGCCCTGGGCTAGAAGCTTTACAGATATTATATCACAGTAACGTGGATCTGCCTGACCCCCATCTTCAAGAGAGCTAAAGCTCAGGAAGGCGACACATGTAGCCCAAAGCGACGTGGCCAGAGGTGGGACTGGGGCTTTCCCAACTGGGCCCTAGGGGCTGCGTATGCTAGGGCATGGGGTGTGGCTGAGAGACGGCTGGGTCCCCGACAGTGAGCCTGGGAGCAGCCCTGGTGCCAGCCAGCCTGAGCAGCAGGAGCGACCTGCCGCCCCTGTGCTGAAGACTGTGAATTCTCTTTTAAAGAACATCACCTTGCTCCCCAGCTGCCAGCATCCAGGGTTTCGTCTTGGGCCAACACCTTCCCAGGCTCCCTCACTTGTTCCCTCCCTTCCCTTCTCGCTCACACTGTCCTTTCTGCTCCCCTTTGGCCTCATCCGTGGCCTGAACCCGGGACGCCATCCTCGCGTCCTTCCACATCAGACTCCAAGCCTGCCTTTCCCAACTGCAGCAAAAACTCATCATCTCAACACCACTCACCCTGGCCAGGATTCGCCCAGAGCCCATTTCCTCATTTCTAAAACAGACACTAATTCCGACTAGAGAGGGAGGATATGAAGGGAAACCTAATTCTGAATCTATACTGATTAAGGGCACCGATGGTCAGGGTCCAAGAGCCCTTTTTTCCCTGGGATGCACTCATTTCTTTCTTTTTTTTTTTTTTTTTTGAGATGGAGTCTCACTCTGTCGTCCAGGCTGGAGTGCAGTGGCACGATCTCAGCTCACTGCAAGCTCCACGTCCCGGGTTCATGCCATTCTCCTGCCTCAGTCTCCCGAGTAGCTGGGACTACAGGCGCCCACCACCACGCCCGGCTAATTTTTTGTATTTTTAGTATTTTAGTGTTTTAATTTTTTGTATTTTTGTATTGTTAGCCAGGATGGTCTCGATCTCCTGACCTCGTGATCTGCCCGCCTCCCAAAGTGCTGGGATTATAGGCGTTAGCCACTGTGCCCGGCCTGGGATGCACTCATTTCTTTAACACAGACTCACTTGGCACTAGCATAGTTACATGCCCCGCTCTGGGCTAGGCTTTGATGGTGCAAAGACAGACGTGGTCCCTGCCCTAATGGAGCTTACAGTCTAGTGGAGAGACAGGTAGTAAACAAGTAAATGATCTGAAATTGTGGTGATGCTAGGATGGCTGCAAGCGAGGAGGGGGGCAATGGAGACAAGGATTTAGAAAGGGAAAGGCTTCTCTGAGGAAGTAGGATTTAAGCTGAGACCCAGGAGATGGGAGCCTGTTTTCAACATGAAGATGGGGAGCCAAAGTGTTTCCAGCACAAGGAACTGTGTGTGCAGAAGCCCAGAGGAAGGAAGCCTGGTCCCTGAGGAGCTGGAGGCAGCCAGGGGCCTGGAGAGTCACCTGAGACTTCCATAGGGCTCTGGAAGGCAAGGTGAGATGTCTGGGCTTTGTGTGGAAGATGACAAGAATCTCTGACGTAGAGAAGGGACAGGACTGGAGGGAGGCCTAATGAAGATTGCACTTGGCTGCTGAGCAGTGGCAGGGAGGCGGGCACTATAGCAGCCACAATGCCTGGGCTGGGGCTGGTGGGGAAGGAAAGTGGACAGACTCAGGCTCTCCTCTGGAGGTGTAACCCTGGACTGCCTCTGGACCAGTTTGGGGAAAGGGGAACTCTAGAATGTGACATTCATGCATACACACAAATGGACTGTGTGATGTCCAGCTCCAGGGGCAGGGGGGCCACGCCCCGTTCCCTGCCTTGCTCAGCGTCCATCCATGGCTGTTCTGTGCAGGGTACATAGCATCCAGGATGCAGCATTAGCCCTGATCAAGGTTATGCTTCCCATGTGCTGGACCACAGGGCCTGTTAGGGCAAGCTGGGGCCTCCTTGTTTAATTCACGACAGGAGGAAGAGCTGGGTATAGGGACTCCACTGTCAAAAGCCCTGCCAACCAATGACACAAGCCAGCAAGGCAACCCCCTTGGCACAAAGAGACAGTGGGCAACCACGGGCCTGCAGAAGGACTTTTCCCCTCCGCACTCCTGGCGAGGGTCAGGTACCAGATACCTCACAGGCTGGGAGGCAGGGGCGGCATCTTTTAACCCCAAGCCTTGGGTATTTTTTGCTATAAGAGACAGCTGCAGGGTCCAATCTGCTGCCTTGACCCCTCCAACTCCCAAGAGAAACCCACAGCTAGGCATGGCAGATCAACGGGCTGAGAGCCAGTGTGCTGTGCTGGCACTTAGAGACATTTCCCAATGGAATCTCAAAAGGTTGGCACTGCTATTCCTGTTTTTACAGAAGAAACCGAAGTACAGAGACATGGAGTAGTCTGATCTTAGTCACACAGCACCTATCATATCACTCTGTCAGAACATGGCGCACTAGGAGGCAGACACACACGCACATTCGCTGTCTGTTCCCTGCCTTGTCAGGGCACCCAATAATGGTGGCTCTCTGTCCCCAGCATGGGGCCCAAGATGAGTCCTCCTTTAGTCAGAGGTGTGATTCTATCCCCAGTCACCAGGGCTTCTACCACAAATGAAGGACGGTGACCACCCTCAATGTCACTGCTGAACTGGGAAACCAGGAAAAGCTATATGCCTTGTGGGAACAGCACATAAAAAACATTTCAGATGGACAGGACTGGATGCAGTGAGTCCATCCTCTCCCTCCAAGAGCTGAATGGAATGGTTCAACCTCAATGGACCTGAGACGACTCTCTTCAATGGGTGAGGCCACTTCATCACTGTGCTTCAACCCAGAAGGATGAAGCTCATTGTTCTGTTCAAGAGTTGGCCGGGCGCCGTGGCTCACGCCTGTAATCCCGGCACTTTGAGAGGTCAAGGCGGGAAGATCACTTGATGTCAGGAGTTCAAGGCCAGCCTGGGCAACATGGTGAAACCCCATCTCTACAAAAAATACAAAAATTAGCTGGGCGTGGTGGTGCACACCTGTAGTCCCAGCTACTCGGGAGGGCTGAGGCGGGAGAATCGCCTGAACCCCAGAGATGGAGGTTGCAGTGAGCCGAGATCGTGCCCCTGTACTCCAGCCTGGGCGACAAAGTGAGAATCCGTCTCCAAAAAAAAAAAAAAAAAGAGTCAAGGGCCCTGACAGCTAGGAAGGAAGGCCCAAGAATGACTAGAGAGGAACAGATGAACAAAATCCCCAGGAGATTTGTCCACCAGGCCCAGGGCCTGAACTTTCTTTTTCTCAAACACAGATGCAATTCCAGGACAAAAACAAAAAACACTTAAGCTCTTTCCTTAACCAGGTCTTCTAGGACACATTCCAGGAATACGCATCGTGGTCCCCTACAGAACTTGACTCTAACCATCTTGGCCTGTGCTGGCACAGGGGTGACAATGGGAAGGCACAGTGACACCCTCAGGAGCGTAGGGACATGCAGGAGGGCCAACAGAAACAGTCCTTTCAAAACCACGCAATGCAATGGCTGCCTTGTCCTAAGGGCTAATCCCAGGAAAAGGAGCAGGCAGTGCTGCCCAGCAGGTTCTGGAAAACCAGCAGCCACTCGCTGATGGTGGCAATGTACTCCAAGTCCAAGAGGCTTCATTTGCTCATCTGGTTCCTCTGACCCAGGAACACATGGAATGGCTTCCACCCACCTCCCCACTTTGCTCTGATCCCTTCACTGCCAGCCCTACTCCCCGGAAGAGGAAAGAGAAAGGCACCACACTCAACGCTCTATCAAGAAGGCACTCAGCAGCCCCCACTTGACTTCTCAAATGGCGTGGCAGCCGAGGGGCCTTCTCCGGAAATTAGTAGTGGTAACAAGGAGGAGGGCACGTTCCAGAAGGTGGTCAGGCACATGGTGGTGCCGGAAGGGACACGTCTAGCGTAGCTGTGTGAGTCAAACTCCTGAGGTCGACACAGAAGTCCTCCCATTTGAGAGAAATGACCCCTCAATGAATATTTCTGAGACAACTAGTCCTCCTGCCCCATCCTGTAGCAGCAAGTGCCACAAGGTACATTTTGGTTTTTCTTTTCTTTACAACCTATTTCCCTTCATGCCTCAGTGACGCAGGGAGGGTGAAGGAGCAGCATGGAGCTCAGAGGCCTGCAGCTTCTAGAGACCCCAAGTCCTATCATCCTGTTTTCACAGATGCCTGCCAAGAGGGCCGTGACCACAATAATCCCACACAAACTCACAGCAAGCACAACTCAATCACAAGAATTTTTTTTCTTTTTTTGAGACAGGGTCTCACTGTGGCCCAGGCTGGAATGTAGCGGCACGATCATGGCTCACTGCAGCCTCAACCTCCAGGTTTGATCAAGTGATCCTCCCAGCTCAGCCTCCTGAGTAGATGGGACTAAAGGCATGTACCACCACGCACGGCTAATTTTTTTTTTTTTTTTTAATGTAGACACAGGGTCTCACTGTTGCCCAGGCTGGTCTTGAACTCCTGGGCTTAGGCGATCCTTCTGCCTCAGCCTCCCAAAGTGCTGGCATTACAGGTATGAGCCACCATGCCCAGCCTCGAGATTTTTAAGAGTAAAATTAAATCAGATGCTAGAGTCTACTAAATCTTTGAGGATTTTTCTTTCCTTTGTACTTCTGCAAAAAGGAATCCTTCATAATACTGGAAAAAAAAGATTTCTAATAACAAAACCCAAGAGTTCTGTTGTTTTCAAAGGAAAACACACCATAAGCTTTACAGAAATGTAGTAAATTAAAAAGAAGAGACCTTTGACTGGAACCCTTTCTGAGACGGGGGAAAGAGCAGGGGCTACTGGCAAGAGATGCCCTGCCCAAGAAAGAGACCTAAAAGCCTGTTGTGTCCACTCACAAGGCCACCCCTGGCCAGCTGTGCCCTGAAGGGCTGCCTTCAGGAACAGTCACCCTGCACCCCATTGGCAGTGGACAGTTTAGAAGCCCCCACTCCTTTCCACAGATAATCTGGGGAGCTAAGTAACCAATGGAAGAACACTGCATCCACCTGGCGTTGTCATCCACAGGATGAAATGCTGGTGGCAGAGCATAGAGCGAGCAGGAGGGCAGAGGCAACGACGCCTGCTGGGAGCCGGGCAGGATGCAGGGAGCCCGGTGGCCCCGACTCACCTGTGCTTGCTGTCCTTTCCATTCCCACGAGCACACTGCCCCCCTCACCCCCGCTCCGACTGCTCTGTGCTGAGGCTGCCTTTCGCGGTCTTGTTCTGCAAGGGGGGGAGAGGGCACGGAAGGGGAGGCTGACACGGGCAAAACCAAGAGGAGACAGACAGGTGGGAGAGGACAGTGCAGAAATCAGGGAGGGCAAAGGGAGGACAGGAGTGGCACATGGAAAAGGAAAGAAAAGGCAGAGTCAGTCCTGACCGACAAACAGGAGACATTCAGACAGGGTTTTCTGAGGCAAAATGTGACCCTTAAAAAGGGGAGTTCTAAAAATAACATGCAAATTAAGTAAAAATAAAGAGAATATAAGATCCTGTGACCACTCCCCGCCCTTCCCCAGAAATAATTTTTAAAGAAAAGCATAAGCAAGCATCTTTCAGGAGCATTTTGAGGGCAGACCTCTCTGGACAACCTCCTTCTAGTACTTTCGGCCCTACTAGATTTAAGACTGCGAGTGACCAGTGACCACCAGGTGTCAGTGTGACCTCAGCCAGAGACACAGTGCAGCCCCTGCAGGAAACATCAGGTGGCAGTGGTCTCCGTTCTGATCCTTTCTTGGGGCTCCTTCTCCATATACACCCTCCCCACACACATATGTGGTATCCACAAACAGACCATTCACCCCTTACCTCCCACCCTTTCCTAAAGGAAGCGACCACGAGACCACCTCCTAAATAAACTGGGAAGTGGAGCCCGAGACAGCCCATCCACTGTGCATCAGGCTGCTTCTGCAGAAGCACAACCTGGAAGAGACTGAGCTTCCCCAGAGCCTTGTGGTCAGCTCGACTTCTAGTCTGGGAAGATGCCTTTGCACAGGCCTCAAGGCCTAGAACCAGACTTACCAAACGCCAACCTGTGAATTGGGGTTCTATTCACCTCAAGTGGAAATCAGTGGCTTGATCGAGTTAGATATTCTCACCTCTCTTAATGAACAGACAAACACCCCCTCTCCCAAAACACATTTCTCCTGGGATCCTCATAATACTCCGAGTGCTGGCCCCCATGCCACGGGTCTCCCTTCAGCATCATGCCCCTCCACCCTCCCAGGGCCAGGAGGGGACTAACAGCCGGAGGCACAGGTGGGGACAGGTGTGGGTGAGGCCCACCAACACCTGGTCTTCAGGTCTTTCAGGAGGAGCCACCCTCGATCCCATCCCTGCTGGTAGCTCCTGGGGCCTCTGACTCACCTTGTGCTTAGGGCACCTCACCGAGAAGTTCTCCTCATGTAGCAAACAATCTGGAAGACAGAAGGGGACAGTCAGATGGAGACTTCACAGCTGGACATAGGTGTGGTCATGCTGGCTGGGATTGACAGGGTCAGACATAAAGGTAGCAGGTCGCTACACTTACTTCTAATAGGAAAACATTAGAGACAACCCAAGTAAGCTATGATACCTTAACATGATGGATATCGGTCACTTAAAAATTAACATTTGAAAAGAGTTAATGGTATGGAAAACACCCATGAAACAAAACTGCTTGAAAAAACCAGGATGTACAAATGTATAAATGTGCTAATTTTATTAAAATGTTTCTACGCATTAAAAAAAGACTTGGGGCTGGGTACCATGGCTCACACCTGTAATCCCAGCACTTTGGGAGGCCGAGGCAGAAAGATCACTTGAATCCAAGAGTCAAGACCAGCTTGCGCAACACAGTGAGATCCTGTCACTATTAAAAAAAAAAAAAAAAATACTGAAAGGCTGGGTGTGATGGCACTTGCCTATAGTCCCAGCTACTTGGGAGGCTGAGGTGAGAAGACTGCTTGAGCCCAGGAGTTCAGACTGCAGTAAGCTACTATCACATCACTGCACTATAGCCTAGGCAAGCAAAACTGTCTTAAAAAAAAAAAAAACTACTTGGGAGGCTGAGGCAGGAGAATCACTTGAACCAGAGAGTCGGAGGTTGCAGTGAGCCGAGATCACACCACTGCACTCCAGCCTGGTGACAGAGCGAGACTCCGTCTCAAAAAAAAAAAAAAAAAAAAAGACTGAAAGGAAATCTATGAATATGTAACAATAATTCTCTTTGGGTAAGAAGATACAGCTGATTTAAATTTTATCTTTTCTATATTCCCACGATATCACCAATAAATGCTATTTTAAAAATCCTTGATTCTAGGCTAACCCCATTTCTCAGGCTCAAGCCAAAGCCTCCTTGTAAAAACACTTTAAAATCTAGACGCGTATTTTCTTCTCTGTACAGAGAATGCCCAGGTGTCTGAGACAGAAAGGTGGCCAGGCCCAAGAGCCCCACTGTCACCTTTGCCCCACGACCCACGGAGACACAGAAGCCTCCAACACAAATCACATAATCCACACTAAATGCTTCAGAGGAAGGTAAAATCCCATGAGGATGCTTTTAATCCTTGGAGGAAAAATGATTCATTCCAACTTGTAACATGATGACAGCATCCTGGATGGCAGCAAGGACACATCTGCCTCCAGGTGAGCTGAGCTCTCACACAAGGGTAGTGCATGGATCAGGGCAAGGAAATCTAATTAATGAGTTCACTCTGCACACCACAGCTCCTGGAGACCGACAGCCAGGTCACTGGTGCAAAACGCGGTGGCAGAATGTTAATAAATATTGATAACACATTCTCAGAGAGCTCCCAGGCACCATGGCAGGAGGCAGCCACGGTACTTATCCTTGTTAAATTTAAACTGAGATCCAGACTAGCAGCCTGTGCACCCACAGATTTCAAGTGCAATAGTAATAAGCAATGAACATACACATGAAAACTTTTCAGGTCCCGGTATCCTAAAACAAATCAAAAAGACCCTTTTATATTTGGCCAGACCTGGAACATCATAGCCTGTCTTTCGTTGGAGCCCATGAGTATCTAAGAGAGTGGGCGGCAGCCTTCTTGGCTCCGTGGGCCCAAGAGCTCAGCAACTTACTACTAACCTCCAAGCCCCTCCCCCAGCAAGCAACTAGCAAGGCAATAAATGAAATGTGTTAATTTAAAACCCACAAGTACATAGTGTGACCAAGACTCCCGCTGCTCCAATCTGCCAGAGAGTTTATAAACAGCAGGAGCCAGACAACTGGAGCTCAGGGGATATGCTCTCTTCTTACCTGGGCTCTGGCAGCAAGCACTATGCTGGCTTAGTCTCTAGTTTGGGCCAAACAGAAACAGTACAGCACACGTGGGGCTGGGCCACGCTTACGCCACAGGGGTTTATACCAGTGAGGACAGGGACCACACGAGCAGCAAAGGGTGCCATCAGAAAGGCGCAGGTGGCTCAGTTCCCTCACGGCCACAGAACAGTGACCAGCTGTGATGGACCATTAATAAAACACGCCTCATGTTAGGAAATGCGTTCCCTCTGAGTTAGAAGCAGAAAAGAGTAAGACACTATGAATGCACGCTAACGACAACTTGAAACTAATGCCAGATACATCTGGAAATGAAGTCTCCTACAGCAATCTGCCTGAGGCAGTGTCCATCTCTGACAAGGCCTCCCATGCAGGAACACTGTGCAGACAATGCCCTCCTCTGTTCTCATACATGTCCACAGGCCGTCAGGAAGCACAATTCACGTTCCTGGCAGGGGCCAGAACCACAGCTAGAGAGCTCAGAAACCTGGAGGGCACAGGGGAGCTTCTCCTCTTACCAGTCCCTGCTGGGAGGGAAGAGTGAAGAGCAGTAGGTGTAGTAAAACCTCTTCTGAGGACTCTGAACAGGCAACTGCACCTACATGGCCAGCCAGTCAAGGTCTCTCAATCTGTGTTCTTCAAGGCCCAGGCACCATCCTACACTGTCCAGAGGGCGCAGTCAGCACTTCTGCATAGTGAAGTCAAAGTAAACAGCTTGCGAGATCATCATCCAAGCTCAAAAAGACCTACAAGGTGGCCTAGTCAACAAGATGGCTTGCAGACACAAACATCAACCCCCAGAAGAGAAGGCCACTTTCATTTCCCTCTTCAAGCTCAAAGGCAGAATGGATTTACTAAGCTCCTCATTATAAGCTCTGTGAAGCTTCAGATACCCACATGCATCCACATGCTCCCAGGCTGAGGATGGTGGGCTCAAGGAGGGAGGTAGGAAAAACAAGAAGGGTTTAATGTCCTTTGGATCTGTTGTGTAGCAGACACAGACTCCAATTCACCTACACTCTACCCCAGTACTACTGTTATTCCTTATGTTGGCACACTGCAGGGCTTGGGACACAGGGGCCTGCCAGCCCCACCCTGCCTTGCCGAAGGGTAGGCTCAGGCTCCTGGGCCATAAGGAGGGAAATATGGGGCTCTTGGCACTGGGACTGGCTCCTGTGAGGCAGACGGCTGTCCCCCGGGGAGGAGTCAGACTACTGGCATTTCCTAATGACCCATCCAGGGCTCTGATGGCACCAGCAAGATCAAAGTCTGCAGCAGAGATAGCAGCTTTAAAATGCTACTGCAACGAGAGCTGCAGAAAGTAGAATTCCCAGCTGTTTTTTCATGAGAGTAGAAGAAAAAAAAAAAACCCTCCACACAAGGTTCTTTACGCACAGTGGAATTATTAATGAGCTACCACAGCCTTTTTTTCTCGTCTTAATTGTTGTGGCTCATTGCATTAAATACATTAATTAAAAAAAAAAAAAAACAGAGCTCATGCTCTTATTACTGTAACCCCCCCCACCTGGAGCCAAATCCTGTGCCTATGACATAACAAGCAACACAAAACAGCTGACCATGATGTCAGAAATGCAGGGTCAACATCAGGTGGGGGGGAAGGTGGCAGGAGTCACAGATCATGAAACAAAGATTCTGTTTCTATGGAGATGTCCCAGTAATAAAAGTCTTCCCTGAGACATCAACAGCTCTTTAAAGATCTGGGTGGGTTGACAGCAAGGCAGAGATGAAAATGTTAAACTGCTCTTTACTCCATAAGGGAGGTTAGGGATTCTCAAACCAAGGACTTATTTTTGTTATGATTAGAAAGAAAAGTCCATCAATAAACTTGTTTCCTGGATACAAAGTTACATCATACACAGAGAGCAATTTCCAAGAAGACTGTGTGGAATAATACAAGCGTCCATCCCCACAGAGCAGTGCAGGCCTCTGGGTCACTGTGACTTGGGTCATCAAAAAGACCGCAATGACCAAGACATGGTCATCTTGTGAAACTGCCTCTGGGTCCCAGGTCTCCACATGAAGGAGCAAAGTGCACAGCAGCAGAGGCAGCAAAGCCAGAGGCCGACAGCCCTACCCTCACTCCTCCCAACCCAGACCCCTCTGTCTTGCTGGACACGCGGCCACCAACTTCTGTTAAATAGAGATGCTACCAGCTTAACTAGGCAGGCTACCAAGATGGGCCCCAAAACAGAAAATGACAGACACCATTTACTCACAAGTCCTCAGCTAATAATGAGGGTCCTGCGCTTCTCTGCTGGTGGGCTGGGGTGACAACCTGGGCACAAGCTTCCACTAGAGGAGAGGATGTTCCAGTGCTCTATGGCCCCTTCCAAAAAATCCCAACCATATTGCCTGAACTTGGGTTGAGGAGGGTAGCTCTAAGCCTGTGCTGTTCAGCCACTAGCCATACATGGCCACTTAAGTTTACATTAAAAAAAAAAATTCATTTCCTCAGTCCCACTAGCACTCAATGATCACATCTGGTTTGTGGTTACCACATTGGAGAGTGCTGAGCTAGAGCGTTTCCATCATTGCAGTATGTTAGGCTGAGCTTTGCTGCTTGACATCTTAGAAGCTGGACCAGAAGGCAGGCTATCAGCAGAACGGGGGCAGCCTCCAGGGGGGCCCTTGCTGAAGTGTGCTCGGGTGGGATGTGGCACCAGCCTGTCAGCACACCCTAATGTGTCCCTGAACACAGCCTCAGTGGGGGACCACTTCTTACCCAGCTGCGAACTGGGAGAGCCAAAACTCACAGTATTCCCAATATAAAACTAACAATCAACCATAAAAAAACTTAATACTTAAAAATCCTCATATATAGCTGGGCATAATGGTACATGCCTGTATTCCCAGCTAGTTGGGAGGATCGCTTGAGCCTAAGAGTTTGAGTCCAGCCTGGGCAACACAGTGAGACCCTGTCTCAAAAAAAATTTTTTTTTTTTTCACTTAAAAGCCATTTTCTTGGCCAGGCGCGGTGGCTCACGCCTGTAATCCCAGCACTTTGGGGGGCCAAGGTGGGCAGATCACAAGGTCAGGAGATCGAGACCATCCTGGCTAACACGGTGAAACCCCGTCTCTACTAAAAACAGAAAAAATTAGCCGGGCGTGGCGGCGGGCGCCTGTAGTCCCAGCTGCTGGGGCGGCTGAGGCAGGAGAATGGCGTGAACCCGGGAGGCGGAGCTTGCAGTGAGCCGAGATCGCGCCACTGCACTCCAGTCGGGGCAACACAGCAAGACTCTGTCTCAAAAAACAAAAAAAAAAAGCCATTTTTTTCAACTAGAAACAAAACTTTATATTACTGCTCCCCCTCTTTCCTGGCCACTAGACTACAGGGAAGAAAACACAATATTACGATGTAACTAGAGGTAATGAAAATGAGAAAAGGCAACTGGTTGGCTCTTTTAAAAACTTATTTTTATTTGAACAGACCTGTTCTTGCTATGTTATCCAGGCTGAACTTGAACTCCTGGCCTCAAGTGATCCTCTAGCCTCAGCCTCCCGAGTACCTGAGATTACAGGTGTGAACCACCATACCTAGTTAACTGGTTAGCTCTCTTTCTTTTTCTTTTGAGACAGAGTCTCGCTCTGTTGCCAGGCTGGAGTGCAGTGGCGTGATCTCAGCTCACTGCAACCTCCACCTCCCGGGTTCAAGCGATTCCCCTACCTCAGCCTCCCAAGTAGCTGGGACTACAGGCACGCGCCACCACACCTGGCTAATTTTTCATATTTTAGTAGTGACAGGGTTTCACCATGTTGGCCAGGCTGGTCTCAATCTCCTGACCTTGTGATCCGCCCACTTCGGCCTCCCAAAGTGATGGGATTACAGGTGTGAGCCACCGTGCCTGGCCCAACTGGTTAGCTCTTGAAAGAGAAGGATTTAACAGCTGTACTACAGAATATGGCAGACCATGACCCAGGGTAAATTACACCTTAGACTCAACATGAAAACATTTGGAGGAAAAAAGAGAACAGAAGGGATGGACTAAAACCCAAACTCCCTGAACTGACATTTCAAGGCTACTTCATTTTTGTTTTGAGATAGGGTCTCACTCTGTTGCCCAGGCTGGAGTGCAGTGGCCCAACTGAGGGTCATGCAGCCCCTCCTGGGTCCTTCCATCTCAGCCTCCCTGGGTAGCTGGGACTACAGACAAGGGCCACCACGCCTGGCTAATTTTTTGTATTTTTTGTAGAGACAGGGTTTCACCATGTTGGCCAGGCTGGTCTCGAACTCCTGGGCTCAAGCAATCCTCCCACCTCAGCCTCCGAAAGTGCTGGGATTACAGGTGTGAGCCACCACACCTGGCACTCTGTTTCTGATTCCCTATCTTTCCGTTGATCAAATAGTGCCTTGGCCATCAAGCTGCCTTTCAGTCCACATGTACGTGTGAATACACACACTTTTGTAATAGTCTAACTGGCATCAGCATTATCTTCTCTACCTCTCTTGTTCTTTTTAACTGTTTCTCCTACAGAAGCTTGGAGAGAAAAGAGGGAAGGGGGAGGTAAGGGCAAGAAGGATGTGAAAGGAATGGAGACATATGCTTAAACAAAAGTCAGGAGCTGCAAGCAACTGCTGCGCTGGAAGGAAGGGGGGGCAGGATGAATTCTGAGACCTGATCCAAGTCTGTTGGCCCTGCTCTGTGTATGTTATGCCTCACGCCTGTTCCCATCATGCAGTCAGCCACGCCCTCTTCCCCTTCCCATCAAATTCAAATCAAACCCCGCCTCCTATGGACAGCGTGGCTGCCTCCGTGGACAGCCCTGCTTCTCTCCTGGGGAAGCACAGAGAGGGGGCATGCACATGACAAGCACCATGCTACTTGCTGCCTTCTCTCACCACTTTTCCTCAAACGTGACCACAGGCATTATGGGGGCTGCCTGGGTGATGGTCTTAGATACATCTAATGCTCAAGTAACTAGAGGACATTATGTCAAGTGAAATAAGCCAGGCACGGAAAGTTAAAAGCTGCATGTTCTCGCTCATGTGGAAATTTAAAAAGCTGATCTTACGGAAGTATTAAAAAGTAGAACAGAGGATACTAGAGGCCAGGAAGGGGAAAGGAAAGGAAGAGATAAGTAGAGATTTGTTAAAGAATACAAAATTACATCTAGATGGGAGAAATAAGTTCTAGTATTCTGTATCACTGTAGGATAACCACAGTTAACAACATTATATTGTATAGTTTCAAATGACTAGAAGATACCAAATGTTCCCAACACAGACATGTTGTTTGAGACGATGGATTTGCTAATTACCTAGGTCTGATCATTTTATATATATATTGAAACATTACTGAGCACCCCATATCTACAATTACTGTCCATTAAAAAAAGTAAAAAACGCTGGGCGCGGTGGCTCACGTCTGTAATCCCAGCACTTTGGGAGGCTGAGGTGGGTGGATCACCTGAGGTCGGGAGTTTGAAACCAGCCTGGCCAACATGGCAAAACCCCGTCTCTACTAAAAATACAAAAATTAGCCGGGCATGGTGGTGGGCGCCTGTAGTCCCAGCTACTCGGGAGGCTGTGGCAGGAGAATCACTTGAATCTGGGAGGCAGAGGTTGCAGTGGGCTGAGATCATGCCATTGTACTTTAGCCTGGGCGATAAGAGCGAAACTTCGTCTCAAAAAGAAAAGTAAAAAACTTAATAAACTTGAAATTAACACCCACCTTGCCGCCAAAAAAGTAACTGGGGAAAACACCCACTGAAGGGACTAAAAGTCTAGAGTAAGAAAGGTGATTTTCCCAGGTTATCGAAGCTCTGAGTCAAAACTCAAGTCTTCTGCGTCACTCATTGGATGGCACTTCTTTAACAAAATGTTTCCCTTCTTTCAACAGTTAACACACTGCAAAACATCCCCCTATCATCTCAGCAAAGAAAATACAACACTCTATTGTATGTATACAACGTACTGTGATTTAGAGTAAGAAATACATATTTTAGTCTTCATCCCTGATTCCTGGCACAGACCTCCTAAAACCCGTGTAAATTCCTGAGCAATTAGGGGTGCTAGGAGCATCTTTTCTTCTAATATTTGGTTTTTGATCCTGGTTCCTGACATGGAGCTCCTAAACCCTTGGAATTTCCTGGATAGGAGCACTTTTTGTTCTAAGGCTACTCTTGGTGGTTCCTGGATGGGGGCTGGGCACCAGAGAGACGAAGCTGTGATTAGCAGCTTGGAACTGTTAGCTCTACCCACCCCACTCCAGGAAGGACAGAGGGGGTGAAGATTGAGTTAATAATTGATTATGCCTACATGATGAAGCCTCCAAAAAATCCGTGAACTACTGGATTCAGAGGGCTTCTGGACTGCTGAGTAGATGAAGGTGCCTCAGGGGTGGTGCCCCTGGAGAGAGCATGGACGCTCCATGCCCCTGCCCACACATCTGGCCCTATGTTTCTTTCATGTGGCTGTTCATCTGCATCCTTTATAATGGGTAAACACAAGTGAAGTGTTTCCGTGAATTCTGTGAGCCATGTTAAACATTAATCAAACCCAAGGAAGCGGTCTTGGGAACCCCAGTTTATAGTTGATCACTCAGAAACACAGGTCATAACACAGGGCTTGAGATTGGTATATGAAGTGGGGAGCGGTCTTGTGGGACTGAGCCCTTAACCTGTAGGGGCTGCACTAACTCTGCTTAGTATCAGAACCAAGCTAAACTATAGGACACCCAGTTGGTGTCCAATGGTGAATTACCTGTGTGATGCTATCAAGAAAAGAAAGTAAAAAGACAACTCAGAGAATGGAAGAAAACATTTGCAAACCACATATCCAGAATTACAAATAATTCTTTTTTTTTTTTTTTTTTTTTTGAGACAGAGTCTCACTCTGTTGCCCAGGCTGGAGTGCAGTGGCGTGATCTCGCAACCTCTGCCTCCCGGGTTCAAGTGATTCTCCTGCCTCAGACTCCCGAGTAGCTGGGACTATAGGTGCGCGTCACATCTGGCTAATTTTTGTAGTTTTAGTAGAGACGGGGTTTCACTATTTTAGCCAGGCTGGTCTTGAACTCCTGACCCCATGATCCACCTGCCCGGCCTACAAATAATTCTTAAAACTTGACATTAAAAAGATAAACAACCCAATTTTACAATGGGCAAAGGATGTGAATAGCTATTTCTCCAAAGAAGATGTACAAATGGCCAATAGGCACAAGAAAAAAATGCTCGACATTAGCCATCAGGGAAATACAAATAAAAACCACAATGAAATAACATTTCATACCCACTGGGCTGGCTACAATTAAAAAAAAAAAAAAAAAGAAACACATATGACAGCAAGTGTCAGGGAGGACCTGGGGAAAGGAGAACACTCATGCACTGCCACTGAGAACGTAAAATGGGGCAGCCATTTTGGAAAACAGTCTGACAGTTCCTTAAAAGGTTAAACAGAGTTACCATATGATCCAGCAATTCTACTCCCAGGTACACATCCAAGAGAACTGAAAACATGTTCACACAAATGCTTGCATGTGAATGTTCTATAGCAGCATTATTCATAACAGTCAAAAAGTGGAAGTAACCCAAATGTACAGCAAAGCCCACAGAGATAGAAAGGATTGAGTCCAACAGAGCTTAAAGGGAAAAAAAAATCATAAAAATTTAAAAAAGAAAACAGAATAGTGGTTGCCAGGGACTGGAGGGAAGGGAAGGGAGATGAGTGCTGCTAATGGGTGGGAAGTTTTTTTATGAAGTGACAAAAAAAAAAAAAAAAAAAAAGAAAAGAAAAGAAAAAAAACAACGACAACAGAGAGAATCAAACTGTATGTCCTAATCCTTTGGATGCTCTGGACAAGGGTCTGTGGTCTCCTCTTACCTGCATCAATGGCACACGGGTAATGGTATCGGAAGGAGCAGCCTTTGTTGTAGCAGCCCAAGGTGGCGCCTGCCTCCTGGCAGTGGGAACATTTCTGAAAGGAAGGGAAAAGTCAGGCATGTCAGTATCCCAGATTTGGCCCTCTCCTCCAGGCCTTCCCTGGTCCCCATCTGTTAGACCTCAGCACGTGTCTCTGTGGTTAGAGGAGTCCGTGGTGGCAGGATGAGCTGGTCAATTTCTAAATGCCATTCACTGACCACACCATGGGAAGGGATCCAGCAATAATGTTTTAGACCAAGCCTCACAAATGTTCTCAAATCAACAATACAGCAGGGTGAGATGAGCAATCCATGTCATAAAGGACATGCCAGAGTGGGGTCCCCAGCCCTGCCTCTGGTACCCCCGCCATCCACCCACCCACACACTATGCCAGGCATTTCCTTGCTGCTATCGTGAGCGGCCTGCAGATCTTCCCTGTTTACTTCTGCTGTGAAAATCTGGGGTAAGAGAGGGTAAGGTAGTAGAGTTATATATAAACCTTTTAGAATTAGAAGTGGAATTTGGTTTCTAGTTCTTGTATTTGTAAGAAGATTTTATTTTTATTTTTGATCTACTTACCCCAAATGCCCAATACATTTCCCTTTTCAGAAAATATGGGCTCCTGTGTGCAAATGGTATTTTTATACATGAATCTTATTTTAAATGCACCAGAAAACCTGCCATGAATTTCTGGCTAAGTGAGACATTATTTTGTAATTGAGACACTCCTCCTTATATGGTCAGGTTTTCTTAAAGTGGGGCACATCTCTGTCAGCCCTGTGATGTGGCTGCTGTGAGTGCTCATCCTGTCAGGTAAGAAATGTGTCCTATCAGCAACAAACACATTCATAAAACTCAACCACATGTGACCCTACTAAGGATGCTGGCTCTTCAGATAGCAGAGGCACACAACCAGCAAGACTAGCTGGAAGAGACAGAAACTTGTTCCTGCTTCTATGAAAAATAAAAGTGTTCCCTAAGCAATTACACTGAGCTGGCTCAGGCCCCCGACACAGATACTGATGGAAAACTACACTAACGCCAGCAACAGCAAAGCCCAAGCGCTCGCCACGCTCAGACTGAATGATCTCATCCAGCCCTCTGCACTATTCCACCTGGCAGGCACTCCTAATGCTTCACGTGAAACTCTTGAGACACCAAAGGGAAAATAACTTGTTCCAGGTCAGAGCTGAGATTCTGGATGATCATCTCTGGCATCCTCCAGAGACAAAAGAGGTAGGAACAAGGGCTGGAAGAGATTAGTCCTTCAAAAGCTTTGCCCTGCTCTCAGAAGATCAAGGTCCTTCTGGGTGCCCATAATCAGTAAATGTTTATCATGTGCCCTCGCACCCTTGTTAAGAGAGAAAAGATCATTTGGTCTGGAGTAAACCAAGGACAAGTTCACAGCATTTCTAGTAGCCCTAGACTCTGTCGACCTTTGTCAGTGCCACAGAGCATCTCAGAATCAAAAGGACTATCAACTTCAGAGAAGGGAGTGTGGGTAGTCCATCGGTGGCCAACCTGCAGCCATGTCTGCTGCCACTTTCTTTTTTTGAGATGGAGTCTTGCTTTGTCGCCCAGGCTGGAGTGCAGTAGCGCAATCTTGGCTCACTGCAACCTCTGCCTCCCAGTTTCAAGCCATTCTCCTGCCTCAGCCTCCTGAGTAGCTGGGATTACAGGCGTATGCCACCACGCCAGGCTAATTTTTGTATTTTTAGTAGAGATGGGGTTTTGCATATTGGCCAAGCTGGTCTCAAACTCCTGACCTCATCGCATCTGGCCTCCTGCTGCCACTTTCTTACTCAAGAGGCCCGAAGATATGGCCCTCCCTACCCTGGGGGATGAATCACAGTGAGTGGTGGCCATTTAGGAATGGGTATGGTCAAGCATTTCTGGTAGGAAAGTCTGCAGGAAAAAGGGCTTCTGAAAACATTTTGCACTCCCCCCAACCTTTTTTTTTTTTTTTTTAATATATTTTGAGACGATGTCTTGCTCTGTCACCCAGGATGGAGTGCAGTGGCACAATCATGGCTCACTGCAGTCTCTACCTCCCAGGCTCAGGTGATTCTCCTGACCTCAGCCTCCCGAGTAGCTGAGACTACAGGGTGTGTGCTACCACATCCAGCTTTTTCAAAAAATGTTTTTGTAGAGACAGGGTCTCACTATGTTGCCCAGGCTGTCCTTGAACTCCTGGGCTCAAGCAATTCTCCCATCTCAGCCTCCAAAAGTGCTAAGATTACAAGCATGAAAGTTTCACCCTCTCAAAAAGAGACAAGAGGGAGGAACAGGTAATTTTTCTTGCGCAGCCTCTGTGAGGATTAGACAGTGGGATCTGTGGCAGCCACAGTATCACCATGAGGGGACAGCCCTGAAGACAAAGCCAGCCTGCTGAGGACAGAAGAGTGGCAAGATGGAGAGACCTGGGCCTACCATGACACTGTCAAGCACTAAATCACCCAAACCCAGGACCAGGCCACCTCTAGCCTTGTTACAGGAAACTTGGGTGCTGCTGTAGAAGGGTTAAGTATGCATGCTCTGGAACCTAAATAACTGCCTGGTAAGTGGCTCCACTTTCTAGCTCTGCCTTCTTGGCCAAACTCCTAACCTCTGTTCCTCAACCTACAGACGTGGGACTAATAATAGCACTCACCTCATAGAAATGTCATAAGGGTTAAATGAATTAATTCAGGCTTAAAACAGTGGCTGGGTCAAAAGTGCTAAGTAAATGTGACCCAAGATGACCATGTGTCAGACATATGCTAGATAATCTACAAAGACCATCTCATGAAAAGCAACCACACAGCAGGCCTCATCACCATCCCGGTTTACAAGAGGAAAGAGAAGACGTGGAGCTTAGATCTGAACAATGTCCATTTGCTTCCTACCTCAACTCCACAACCTGGCAAGCAGTGTGCAAACTCCACTATGATTAATTTATAACATTGCATCCAAAGGGGAAAGACTCTCAGGCTGTATTAGGGACTTAGAGAAAGATCCTTAAAGACAGTTTAGTTCAGTGGTTTTTGAAGTGTGGTCCCCTGGAACAGCAGCATCAGCAACACTCAGGGACTTGTCAGAAATGCAGTTTTGTTTTTTGGGTTATTTTTGAGACAGAGTCTCGTTCTGTCACCCAGGCTAGAGTGCAGTGGCACAGTCTTGGCTCACTGCAACCTCCGACTCCCATGTTCAAGTGATTCTCGTGCCTCAGCTTCCCAAGTAGCTAGGATTACAGGCATGAACCACCACACCTGGCAACTTTTTGTTTTTTTACTAGAGACGGGGTTTCAACATGTTGGCCAGGCTGGTCTTGAACTTCTGACCTCAAGTGATCCACCTGCCTTGGCTTCCCAAAGTGCTGGGATTACAGGCGTGAGCCACTGTGCTTGGCAGAAATGCACGCTTTTGAGCCCCACCTAAATCTGTGTTGTGAGAAGTCCTCCAGGCTATTCTGATGTACAATGCAGTTTGAGGACCACTGGTCTAATTCAACTCCCCAACTTTTCAGATGCGGAAAAAAGAAACCCAGAGAGACACAATGACTGGGTGAGCTAGGATTACTGGATTACTGGTTTCCTGAGAGCCATTCAGTGTTCTGTCTCCTACAGAGCAATCAGATCTTGGGATATGGTAGGCAGAATCCCAAGAACCTGTGATCTTATATATACAAAATCAACTTTGTGGATGAGATTAAGTCAAGGACCTTGAGATGGGAAGAATATGCTAGGTTATCCAGGTGGGCCCAATCTAATCACACAGGCCCATAAAAGCAAACGATTCCCCCCCAGAGGGAGTTACAGTTGTCAGCTTCAGGGAGACCTGATGATTTGCCAGCAGGGTCATAGGTGCAATGCTGCTGGCCTGGAAGATGGGAGAAGGGACAGGGCGGCAGCTGCAGAATTTTTAAAAGGCAAGGAAGCATGTTCTCCCCTAAGACTCTGGACTTTTCCAAAGCCCAGCCCACACCTCAATTCCAGCCCAGTAAGACACCTGTGTTGGACTTTGAACCTACAGAACTGTAAGCAGAACTGTATTAACAAGTTTGTGGTAAGGTGTTATGACAATGATAGAAAACTAATACACGGGGATTTCCCAAGACTCTCAAGTGATTGTTCATTTTCCTTTTAGGTTCTTTTTTTTTTTTTTTGATGGAGTTTCGCTCTTGTCGCTCTGGAGTGCAATGGCATGATCTCGGCTCACCGCAACCTCCACCTCCCGGGTTCAAGCGATTCCCCTGCCTCAGCCTCCCGAGTAGATGGGATTACAGGCACCTGCCACCACGCCCAGCTAATCTTTGTATTTTTAGTAGAGATGAGGTTTCACCATGTTGGCCAGGCTAGTCTTGAACTCCTGATCTCAGGTGATCTGCCCACCTCAGCCTCTCAAAGTGCTGGGATTACAGGCATCAGCCACCGCACCTGGCCTTAGGTTCTTTAATGCAACAGATTTCTCCCTCAATTTGCCTAGTGAAACCTACAATTTCACTAGGCAAATTGTGACATCAGGAGATCAATAAAGAAGGAACTCTGGGTCTGTCTTCGACATCTGTTTTTCTTGTAGAAGAAACAAGAGGCTAAAGCAAAGTGACCTGCTAAAGATCACATAGCTAGTAAGAGAACTTAGAACTTTACCTCTTTTTCTTCTGAACCCCAAGTTCAACTTTCTTCATACCATACCATGACGCCTGTTAGCCCCCTTCATTCACTCAACTATCCAACATTTGAAAAGTACTTTCTAGGTGCCAGGTGCCAAAGATAGAATATAAATACTTATCTATAGTATCTTCCATGTGTAAGGTTTTCCCTTCTACCCAAAAATCAATACCCAGGCCAGTACAATTTCTAATTAAATTTTTATTCTATACTTTTTACCTGGAGTAGCTATTTGCATTATCATCCTCCTATGCTACAAATAATATATTAAAGTCACTGCACAGCTAAATGTCCTTTGTTTTTGACCACAGTGTTACTACATTCACTCCAAGCAGAGGTAAGTCCATACAATACTGCTCCCCAGGAAGAATGAGACACATTGGGGGCTCCAAGCATGATTTCTAAATTAAGACACATTTTAAAAATAAGGAATGGCCCAAACTTCAAAATCTTTTAATAGTAAATTTTTTATTATGGAAGGGAATAAAAACTATTTTTAAAGAACTCTAATAAGAACCTCACATTTTTTGATACTCTAAACTTGGGAAATAAATTATAAAAGGTATTATTAGTTTTGGGACATGTTTTAACGGAAAGTGGCCCAGATACAGAGCTTGAACCTTTCACCAGACTTTGTCACTGTCTCAGAGGCAGGGCTCGCTGACTTGAGGTAGCAAACTGCAAGGACTGAGTCAACTAGCGTTGTTTAATCCTTATCTGAGGGAAGCTTTAAGGGAGCCTTCTCCAAGCCTGATGCCTGCTCATTCACAGAAAGGCTCTTTCTTATGAGATATAACAGCAACCTGAATCATCATCCTGTTTAATTAGCATCTCAGAGCAGCCTCAGAACACCAAAGCAACTGGGTCACAGTAGTATTATAGCACACTGATGACAACTGGTTTTGTTCAAGCCTTGCAGATTACCCTCCACTACTGTGCCTAAGACGGCTCTTATCCAGCATGGCACACACTTCTGCTCATGCTCACAATATTTACTTACTCATGTTTGTCCATCTCCCCTAAACTGTGAGACTTGTTCTTGCACCCCCCAAGGACTGGCACACCATAGGCACTGTAAATGTGGGCTGATGGAATGAATGCAATGTCTGACAAACTTGAGAGCCTGAAGACAACTAATGAGGATACTCTTCAATGAGTTACAAAACTGATGCTGGTGGAGCTTGGAGAATGTGGAACAAGGTATGTGTTCATTTTTGGCCACCAGCAAAAAGTTTTTTGTCCTTTTAATTATGCCTCCTACATCTAGGATGGAAGCCGCTGTCCTCCCAGCTATCAATGCCAACTACGTGGCAGCTAGATGGGCTACATACAAGGAGCTACCCTTCAAGGCCCTGTGAGCATTTCTTTGATGCAACTCTGCATCCTATCAAGCTTCTTAAAGACTACTTCAAAGTGTTAGCCAAAGCAATACATACATAGCCCTAGGTGTTTTGGTCCTTACTTCCTTAGAGCTAGACGATCTCCTTACGTTTCTTCATGAAAAGCTCATGAGACTGGCTGGAGAACCTTTAACTTGCCATTAACACAAAGACTGAGGGAATGGGCTCTGGCACCAGCCTCTGGGACCTGCACCACGGCCCAGTACCACCAAGGCTTCCCAGTCAACCTCAGAGGGACAGAGACTTGTCCAGTTCTTCTCAGGTCCATTTACTCAGTGCTACTCAAGTTATGGTACATGGATTTAGAATCTGCACTTATGTCCTACAGCTGCTCCGGCAAAAGTGCCAGTTTCAGAAACTGAATCCATTAAATACACACTTAATCAATTATGATGTCAGTATGAAACATCAGCCAGCCACTCACTGGCTAAGGGCTAATTGTGTGTACTTAAGACAAAAGTTCCAGGCTTGACTAGCTTTTTAGAATAAATGTGGTTGGTCTAATGTGCATACTGTCCAGGTATGATGCAGCACAGGGCTACTGGAGAAAAAAACTGAGGGTGTCAGCACACGTGTGAAAGCCAAAAGTCACCAGGTCAATTTTATCATCTGTAAAATGGGGATAACAGTATTTGCTTTGCCTTCTGCCTAAAGCTGCTGTGTAAAATAACCATAAAAGTGTTTTACAAACTAGAAAGTTATGTAATTATTAGAACTTTTAAATAAAAATTACATAAAACATACATTCATCTCTGTCATACTTTGGCAATTACTGATATCAAAATCAGATATAATACAAAGTACAGTCTATTAAATTAAGACAAACAGTTTAAAGTTAATTTTTTGTTAAGTAATTTCTCTCCTACAATCTGCCTTAAACAAGCAGACCCTGCATGGGTCTGGACACCTGCTGCTGGTCGTTTTTTTGGTAAGTCTAGCTGCTGTATGTTTCAGTAATGTTTCATCTCCGACGGTGTGGAAGGTCAGTTCTTGGCCAAGTCTCTGGACACTTCACTTCTTAGCTACTATTTACTATTACTTTCATTGTATCTCCCCTCTCAATTCTCCTATCTGGGACCAATACAAACTAAAACTATTTTTAAAGCTTTCTAAAGCATTTTGCATTACAAGAAAAGATGTTAAATAAATGGGGACTAATAATGACACACAACTGCATACAAATTAAATTCTAGCAGGATTTCGAAAGCATTGAAAACTGCCCCAAAATGGCATATTGAGCACAACTAGAATGAGAAAAACCGCCTCACAGGCTTGCCTGTTGTACTCTACAGACAGTGCCCTCTGTTATGTGGAGAGCAGACCTGGAAACCAATGACTCCTTTGCTGCCTGCATCAGAGTCACCTGCCAGGTGCTCCTAGCCATACTTCTCCAAACCTGTCCCTACTCACATTAATCTAGAATAATCTGCTGTGGCTGATTCTGGACCCTCTGCTGCCATGTGGATCTTAGGTCCAACAGATGGTACTATTCCTTACAACACACTTAGGGCCCAATAGTTCATCTTCTCTGCCTCCTGGGACCCAGTCATCTGCTTCCCTCCAATACAAGCCCATGAAAACACTCACACAAACTTTCTTTAATCTGATCATCTTTCAAGCATAATTTGAAATAAAATTATATATTTAGATCACCATTCTCCTCCCATAAAAGCCCCAATCAAAACATGGCTCTGCTACAGATCCTGACAAGTATTTGTTTCTTTGGGAAAACCTTTCAAGTCAAATTATAAACCTGTAATAAGTGTCTCTGTGGCTGAGTGGTGGTTGGGTGGTAGCTGGCCCCAGAAGTGGTACAAAACGCACAGAAAGCCTGACCCAGGTCCAAATCTCTTGAGTGTGGCCGTTTTGGCGGCATCTAACAGCTACATCCTTGGATTCTGTTTTGATCCACAAAGAAAGCCCGTTCCCTTATTTCCCTTCCGATGTCTTTGTGCCCATAAGGTGGGACCAGCCTGTCTGCAGTTTATAGTAAAGTTATGATGTTTTCCATCAGGTTAGAAAGGTTGGGATTAAAGGACTTTTCTCCTTCATTAAGAATGTCCTTCTTTGTCTTTCTGTACTTCATCTACCAAACAGAGGATGTCAGAAATTAGCCACAATCTTGAGCAGATAAAGAACATATTCAGAATACACACAGCTTTATACAATGGACTTACTCATTTTAACACTGAGCAAACAAATAATGAGAAGTTAGTAGGTCTAAGACGCAGCTGGGGAAGGAGGTCTTTTCTCCAGAAGATTCTGTCACATACCTCTTTTTATGCCATTGTTGCTTTAAAAAATCCAGATTCTCAGGCCGGGCATGGTGGCTCACGCCTGTAATTCCAGCACTTTGTGAGGCCGAGGCAGGCGGATCACCTGAGGTCACGAGTTTGAGACCAGGCTGGCCAACACAGTGAAACCCTGTCTCTACTAAAAATACAAAAATTAGCTGGGTGTGGTGGTGCATGGCTGTAATCCCAGCTACTCGGGAGGCTGAGGCAGGAGAATCGTTTGAACCTGGGAGGTGGAGGTTGCAGTGAGCGAGATCATGCCATTGTACTCCAGCCTGGGCAACAAGAGTGAAACTCCGTCTCAAAAAAAAAAAAAAAAAAAAAAAAAAATCCAGATTCTCACCCGTGAGCTGTGTTATGAGGAAGGGACCTCTGCAATAATGTGAAGGTAACCCTTGGCTAACGAAAGTAAAAACACCAGACCCATGCTTCTTCAGAATCATAAAGTGTAAGTTATTCTACTGAATGTGAAGAAGGCAGTTTGACTTCCTAACGAGCTGTTCTCTGGGACTTTTAATTTGCCTTATTAATGTGTCAATCCTGATTCCACAGCATAAAACTGCATGTCCAGAAAGTAGAAACATGGGTTGGATGAAAATTAATAAGAACTTGATCAGGCTGGTCTTTCCCCTTGACATGCAGGTTTCTCTAAAGGTTGTAAGACACTGTGTGATCAAGGTGCCTTTTATTCTCAGGGCTCTTTTCTTTGATATTTAAGTTCCCTTAGGAGTTGATGGTATCGACTTCAGAAGTATAATAATCTTTTCTTTTTATTCATTCTACAAATTTTTATTGCATGCCTGTGTGCAGGGGCTGAAATGGGGAGCCAAAAGTTCACCTAGTGTCTACCCTCCAGGAGCTCACAGAATGATCTGGGGGTAAAGCAAAATTTAAACAGTGATGTAAACAGTACTTCAGAGCGCAGACTTAATGCCACCAACCTAGTTAAGGAAGTCAGGAAAGCATTCTTGAGGGAGTGTAGCTTGACCTGAGTCATAAAGAGTGAGTAAGAGCTACCTGGGGGGAAGGGGAACAAACTGCTTTGTGGAGGGACAAGCAGGCAGGGTGTAGGGAACCAACACAGTGGAGCACAACTCTGAGAGGGTGGGAAGCTGATATGCAGGAACCCAGGGCCAACAATGGCTGTTGCTGGGTTAGGGATGATATGGAAGAGTTTGGGTACTGGTGGTGGAAATGCATACAAGAGGCAGCATAGACTTCGAAGGTAAAACCGACAGGACTTGATGCTGACACATGGCCAGGGGGTCTGTGAGATGTGTTGCAGTGAGCCTGAGTGTGTGGCAGTGTAAATCAGCACAGTGGACAGGGAGCCCTCTGGATGCCAGCACAGCAGGATTCTGATGAGGTGAGCACACACGTGGCACCTGCTCTAAATGCTACTTTCTCCTAGAAAGATTCCATTTACAGAAGAGAATGTTTTGGACTGAGAGCAAAATCTCAACTGGTCAGGAATGGGTTTAATTCCAAATGACATTTTATGGGTAACTACGAGAAACCTTTTATAGAACACAGGCTATCTTCCTGCTTTAGTAAATAGCTCAGGGTTTTGAGTAAACTGATTGTTTTCCGTTGTCTTAGAGTTATGATTCTGTATTAAGAGTATTCTTGTAAGACACGAGGAAGAGACTAGGCTTTATCAAAGTGATCCCAGGACATAGCCTAAAACTTGCTTTTTAAAATAAATCCCTGCTAGCAAGCTTTTTTTCCGTATCATTTTACTTCTCCTAAAGTAGAGGACAACAACGACAAATCTAGTCAAAGAAACTGTTCCAGTTAGTTTAACTGACAATTCCTCTGTGTACCTTCCTTATATTCAGATATTCCTTATCAGAAATCTTTTTTGATTTTTACCTCAAATTTAGGCAGTCTAAAAACAAAGACAAGAAATAAGGAAAAGAGAGAAAGCTGGGGCGGAGAGGAAGTTCTCGGAGTTTTTCACTGGAGCGGAGCTGTCCACTGAAGCTGCTGATCTGGAATAGCAGCAGGGCTAAAAGAAACTTATACTTGGCCCTGTCTCTCACTGGTACAGGAGCCTAGGCAAGTTAATTTAAGTCTTGATTTTCTCAACAATACATTGGGGATAATACCCAGTTGGGAAAAAAGGGCACGGTGGGGGTATCTTCTGCTACTTAAAGACACTGATCAGGGCAAAATAACCTGAACAGGGCCAAGTAAGGTGGCCCATGTCTGTTATCCCAGCACTTTGGGAGGTTGAGGTGGGAGGACTGCCTGAGGCCAGGAGTTCAAGATTAGCCTGGGCAACAAAGAAAGGCCCTGTCTCTACAAAAAATAAAATTAAATTTGCTGGGTGTGTTGGCACTCCCTGTAGTCCCAGCTATTCAGGAGGCTGAGGCAGGAGGACTGCTCAAGCCCATGAGGTCAAGGCTGCAGCCAACTATGATCACACCACTGCATTCCAGCCTGGATGACAGGGCAAGACCTTGACTGACACACACACACACACACACCCTGCACATACTTCCCAGGAAGTACCAGCACTGATCCCTAGTCATTTTGTTACTCTCTAGTCCCATGTGGAATGGATGGTCCCTTGAAACTACAAAGGCCGTCTGTGCTTGTCTGCAAGGCTATGGGCAGCAGCACAGACATCCAGGAGGAGTTAAAGCTAACAATCTACTATTGCTACTAAACCAAACCCAGCTATGCTGCCACACAAAGGGGTTCCTTTTGTCTATTTAGAGCGTATTTTACAGGTCAGACACAGTATTTAACCACTTATTCCCCACCCTCAGCTATCTGCTTTACTATGTACACTTTATTGATGTTTAAGTAACATGTGAAAATATGGCAGGTGATACTAATAATTTCTACCAAGGTGCCCACAAAAAAGAAAGTTCGTAATTATCACACATGGTATGAACTTCAACTGCAGATATGGTAGGCAGATATCAGCCACTTGCTGTGGGTTTTTAATGTTCTGTAACACTGTAACTCTAATTATCCTGGGTTTACAGCCTTCAGGTTCTGCATTAATAAATTTATGGAGGCAAAACAAAGGAGGAACAAAAAACAATTTCCCAAATAAAATACATCCATTTGCCTCAATTTAAGTTAAATCCAATCTATGTCCCCCTTCTGGAAAATTAAAGCATTACTCAAGAAGGCCTGGTTTAGTAATTTTTCTCTTGCACAAAATGTATACGTAGTTTGTTATAATGTTAATATGAAGTCTCATAACTCAGAAGGCCAACACAGGTGTCACTAATGATGTTTCTTTGTGCTAACCAAACTTGCCTTTTTTTCTGAAACACAGTTTGCATTTTATTATTATTTTTTAGATGGAGTCTCACTCTGTTGCCCAGGCTGGAGTACAGTGACGAGATCTTGGCTCACTGAAACCTCTACCTCCCGGGTTCAAGTGATGCTCCTGCCTTAGCCTCTAAAGTAGCTGGATTACAGGCACCCACCATCACGTCCAGCTAACTTTTGTATTTTTAGTAGAGACGGGGTTTCACCATATTGGCCAGGCTGGTCTCGAACTCCTGACCTAAGGTGATCCACCCTCCTCGGCCTCCCAAAGTGCGGGGATTACAGGCATGAGCCACTGCACCCAGCCTGCATTTTATCTTATCTACAGTTATATATACTCCATTAAAATAATCCTAATCAGAGGGTTTCTTTTATAGCCCCAAAAGAAAATTGCCACTGTGCTGAAAACCTTATATATTTTGTCTAACGGAGTTTTTCCTATGTTAAAAGGAGCTTGTGCCCTTTAAGAAATTAGAAAGGAAGGGCACAGAGTGCTAGAGTCCAGGACTAGGTATAAGCCATTGATTAGCACTTTTCCTCTGAATAAAAGCAGAGAACCTGAGAAAAGGCTGAACCCAGCAGGAGTAGGAGACCTGCGGCAGCCCTGTGATGAAGAAAGAGAAGAGCTTTTTCTCAAGTACAGGGAGAGAAATACTTACATAGTTTGAAACACTGAAATTGAAGTTGCACAAGGTCTTGCACTAGCTTATTTTTATTTTACCCTTTGCTCAAACAGTGGATTAGCTTATAAAGAGAAATGATTACATTTTGTGCTTTCTGAATCTAAAAAGGCATCTTTTTAAAGAAATTACACTCCAGGGAAGTGACTCTTGGTGTAAGCTGCTTCTCTCCATGGCTCATCCTACCCAGGAGTTGGGTCTGTGCTTCCAGAAAGCCAATTACTGGAAGCTGCTTATTCACAAGGCACCCATACTGAAATGTTTACAGTTTCAGTGCAGAAACGACAAACCTGCTGCCACAATAGGACTCCCTTAACAAGATTTCAAATCTGTGAAGATCATACTGAAGCGGAAATCTCCAAAGCTGTTCCAAACACTTGGCTCTGGAGGTCTTTCTCATTTTTACTCCTTTCTTCCTACTTGCATTCATATTACCTTCCTCTTTCGCACCCGGAGCCACTGCCATCTCACCAACGCTCTCGCCTGTCCATCTTCTCAAACAGGTTGAGGTATTGTCAGGCAAAGCCACCCTATTCCTGGAAGTGGCAAGTTTTTCAAAGGCAGGGGCAGCCTGACAGGACAGACACTGGAGGCTCAGGAAATAGCAGAGTCCCAGCAGAAAGGAACTTTCAAAAACGAGGATATCTTGATATACTGAAGCTAATGCCAATGAAACTACCACAGGATCACTGGTCCTCAAATCCTAAGCCAGCCCCTGCCACCTCTCAGCCAAGCTTCAGTGGGGTCATTTAATTTGGCAACAACATGAGACATAGTCTCACATCTCATTTCAGGTCACTCCCACAGGTCATGCTCAAACCGGGGCCTTTTCTTCCTGGAAACCTACTGGAAGGAAAAACTACGTCCACACTAGAATGGAAACTTTGGCACCCAAATCTGTGACTAGCTTATGAACCTTCAGTTTTCAGAATTGATTTTTGCATTTCTCAAAGGGTAACTCTGCCACCTGCACCAGCATGGTCCTAAGCTTGAGTTAAAAAACACAGACTGAGGACACTGTCCCAGAAGAGACTGAATGGGAAGCATCCCAGGTTCTTATCCTCAAGAAAGTTTTAGAACTATTGGTTCAATTCATCTTCATAGATATGGAAATTTTCTTCTACATTTCTGTTTCAGAAGATTCCTACCAGATTAGGAAGATACTCAGCAAGAGTACAATCCTCATTTCAACAGAAAAGGAAAAAGGAAAAAAAGAAAAGGAAACTCCAAGAGTCTCCATGAAGAAAATAGAGATCTGGAAGTAATATAACCAAGTTTAGAAATCCTGCATAATTCCTCAATACATCTCCTCCTCCTCCACCTACACTTTTTTTTTTTTTTGAGATAGGGTCTCGCTCTGTCACTCATTCATCAAGCCAAAGAGTTTGAGGTTGCAGTGAGCTTTGATTGTGCCACTGTACTCATAGTGGAACAATCAGAGCTCACTGCAACCTCAAATTCCTGGGCTAGAGGAATCCTCTTGCCTCTACTTCCTTAGTAGCTGGGACCACAGGTGCATACCACTGCACTTGGCTGATTTATTTTTTGTAGAGATGGCATCTCACTTTGTTGCCCAAGCTGGTCTCAAACTCCTGGGCTTAGGCAATCCTCCTACCTCAGCCTCCTGAAGTGATGGGATTACAGATGTGAGCCACCATGCCCAGGCCCAAGATTTAAGTGTCTATTGTTAGGACAGATTTCATTTATCCAACACCTTGACAAGGCAGTCCAGTTATTAACTCCATTTTACAGGTTAAGAAATTCAGCTTAGGGGCTAAGTGATGTTATAGTTTCCCAAGAAGCCAACTCCTACAGATGTCTGGATGAAGGATAAAATATGACCTAAAAGATTCTATAATTATGACTCTTTGCCAACAAAGACCGTCCAGTAAATTCAAGAGCCTCTGTGCTCTCCTTTGGGCCTTGTCTCTGGGCAGTGTGGTGGTCGTATAATAAAAGGTGGTTCTATCACATGACTTTTCTTTCAAGAGTGAGATTAGAAAAAAGCAACAAGTAGAGGATGGGACTGGTCAGATTATTGAAATTGTCTGAAAATACACCAATGACTAAGGGATTTCAGAGTTCCCAAGTCAAATTAAGGAGCTAAAGGCAACAACTGGGTGTTTGCTGGTGGTTTCAGAGCTCCTTGGGGGTCCGTGGGAAAAGTGAGTCTTTATGTGGCTGGATCATTTCCTGGGGTTCTCTACAGCTAATTTGGAAGATCTTAAACAGAGAATCTTCTGGAGCTGAGCAACAAGATTTTTTGTTGGCATATTCACCTTAAATGGAGCTTTTTTCCAAAGGTGGGAAGGGATGAGGTAGGTCTGAGAGAACAGAATGCTGGGTCAGCAAGTTAGTGAGATTCCATTATTGGGAGATGATTTGCTTCAATGAAGAACGGTTTCTGTGGCACTGCTAAAACCCTCGCCCTGCCAGGAGGCGAAACTAAAACATTAGTAGTTGATACAGATACTATCAACAACCCCGGCCGCCTTGCACAATGTTCCTCAGGTCTCTACCAGGGATGCTTAACGCTTATCCCTGTCCTGATGTACCCTAGTGAAGGAACAAGTTGTCACTTGGCCCACAGTGAGAGGGCTAAATACTAATGACTCTGCTTCTGCCTGGGAGAGTGTGGGGTGGGGGCGGGGGTAGCGGTAGATGGTGTTACTGAGAAAGCCAGGCAAAGTGGTTGTTCAGAGCAGAGAACTAAGAGAGTGCTCTTGGTGGACTGTGAGTTTCACAGGGCATGGTGGAGGAGACTGGCAAAGCAGCAGAGTGTGGTTCTTGACATGTGCCTATTTCCCCTGCCACTCACGCTTCAAACCCCCCAAGTCACTCTAGTAGTGGCAGGTCCAAGTGCCACATGGGGAGGGCAGGCCTCTGAGGCCTTACTGACTCAGCCCTCCCTTTGGCCGAGTTAGGTGTAGCTTCTCCACACTTACACAGACCTCACAGTATCCATAGACCATGCCTCCCAGCACTTACACAAGTGCTCACTGAACATAAGGTGGGGCTGCTTTTACCTGCTAAAAACTATCCACTGGAAATTCCTTCATTCTGAAATGGTCATTGTGCATTTCAATGTCTAGGAGGCATCTCAGACTTAACATGAACAAAATACAACTCCTGAATCCCCACCAAACCTGTTCTCTTGGGAGACCCTGGAGGAAGAACAGGTTTGGTGGTGATTCAGGAGTTGTGTTTTTCAACATTCAGGTGGCACTACATTCACCCAGTGGCAACTCACATTTTTGTCCCCAGAGACATACACTGAAACTCATGAACAACAAAGCCTCATACAGATGCCCTCTATAATGAAGGCAAAACCTGTTCCTCTGCCTTACAAAGAACCACAAGGACAAGAAATTAAGAATGCTGCTGGTCATCCATCTCTCATCATTTTTTTCCCCAAAACTATAACAGGAAAACAAAAATCAGTCTCACTACCAAAACACATTTTAACATCTCCTTAAATTTTTATACGTAGATTAAAATTCTGACCAGCATATTCACAAATTATTTCCAATATTACATACTTTTTTTTTTTTTTTTTGAGATGGAGTTTCGCTCTTGTCACCCAGGCTGGAGTGCAATGGCGCGATCTCAGCTCACTGCAACCTCCACCTCCCGGTTCAAGCGATTCTCCCGCCTCAGCCTCCCCAGCAGTTGGGATTACAGGTGCCCACCACCATGCCCAGCTAACTTCTGTATTTTTAGTAGAGATGGGGTTTCCCCACGTTGGCCAGGCTAGTCTCAAACTCCTGACCTCAGGTGGTCCGCCTGCCTCGGCCTCCCACAGTGCCAGGATTACAGGTGTGAGCCACCATGCCCAGCTCAATATTACATACTTTTAAACATACATATTTAAATGGCATCCAAAGGCCCACCTCTTCCCACTGGAGGTTACATTGCTTCTACGTGTCTCTTAAAGAACCTGTCAGTCACAAATTTACCCTGCACTGATCACCCCCCATGCCAGGCATTAGGGTGGGCTCTGGGGCCAACTCAGCCCTTGGGGAGCCTATCTGGTGAGGACGACAATCAGATAAGCTGGTAGTCACCCCAAGAGCAGCTCCAGCTTAGCTGGGCATTTGCATAAGTGCTGGGAGGCATAGGCTCTGAATACTGTTGGGTCTGTGTAACCTGCAAAGGGAAGGCTGAGTCAGTAAGGTCTCAGAGGTCTGTCCTACCCTCAGTGAGGAGGCACTCAGACCTGCCACTATTGGAGTGACTTGGGGGATTTGACCCATGGGTGCTAAGTGGTGTAACAGGTAAAATGGGAGTGCAGCTGGGCAGCACTTGCTGCCTGGGGAATGAGGTGACAGGTGAGCTGGTTTTAAATCGATGTGCTTTTCACAAATAATAGTGGATTAAAATGCCCAGGCCTGCTCTCTGAAGAGGAGGGAGACACAAAGTCTTATATCAGCAAACAAATACATTTCATTTTTGAGGGGTTGCCCTTTCAAAGCATTAGTATATTTTTATTACTTCAATAAAGAACCCTACCTAGAAACAAGCAAACAGAATAATTTGGGAACTGTCCTATCACTTATCCTAATGAATTACACTATTATCCTAGCAACCAGCTTTGTATGAAAAAACAAAAATAACTTTCAAGCAAACCAGAGGCCTTCACCTGACATGTGTCTGAACTAAGATTTAAGGTTCACAATCACAGCTTTCAAAGTCTGGAACCACATGGCACCCCTAGGGAGCCAGCCACAATGAATAGGCCTGAGACTTGTTAGATGAATATACATTTTACTAGAAACTTCCACTAGCTGCTCCGTGAGAAACACATAACAGAGATGAAATGCCTCCACCGCTGAACAATGTCAGGGCACCCAGGTCCCACTGGTGGTGCTAGTCCATCAGAAGGGACTAGCACCACTTCAGATTTGAGTTCGGCTGGAAATTTGTTATTCTGTTGACCCTGGTATTGTCTATCTGCCTGTGTAGCAGTTCTTCAATTCTATTTTCATAAGGCACGTTAACTGACAGCAGTATGCTGCCAACATCTTCAAATTAAGTGTCAGCTCTTAAGTGCATACAACCAAAATCACTCCACTATTACCAGGTTTACGTGGACAGCATCAGATAGGGCTGAATTTTCTCTTCAGTTTAATTTCCACCAATAAGTTTAGAGACAGGAGGGTTATCTTTACTAAACCAACACATGAGGACACAATTCTAAGGCTGATGCTAGGTAGCTCATAATATTTGCTTCCTTTAAAACCACATCAACTCAAAAGCTTCCAGGAATAGTTTAGCCTCCACCAAGGAGGCTACTTGATTTCCAGCAAAGTTAGTTTTATCCTTTACAGTCCTCTATCATCATCTAATTTACAGATGAGAAACTTTTTTTTTTTTTTTTTTGAGATGGAGTCTCGCTGTGTCGCCCAGGCTGGAGGGCAGTGGCGCGATCTCGGCTCACTGCAAGCTCCGCCTCCCGGGTTCATGCCATTCTCCTGCCTCAGCCTCCAGAGTAGCTGGGACTACAGGTGCCCGCCACCACGCCCGGCTAATTTTTTGTATTTTTAGTAGAGACAGGGTTTCACCGTGTTAGCCAGGATGGTCTCGATCTCCTGACCTTGTGATCCGCCCGTCTCGGCCTGCCAAAGTGCTGGGATTACAGGCGTGAGCCACCGTGCCCGGCTGGGATGAGAAACTTTTTAAGAGCTCTACTAATGCCTAATTTAGGGGCACCCCTGAAGAAAGGAGTTCCATACATCTCAATTTTCCAGAGAAGTGATTCAGGCTATGAGAAATAGGTACAGAAAAACAAATTGAGAATAATAAAATTCCAAATTAACAATTAATGGACATTAAACACAAAATTAACAGGGAACAACATTAATATCACTAATAAAATAAATGAAAAGGAACTAAAAGTTTAAAAAGAAGGTCCAATGCCACTGAGGTAGCAGTAAACAGGCTCACCTGTCCTCATGGATGCTCATGCCTTGTTATGACCCTTTGTTGATTAAACCACAAGACAATGCCTATCAAAAACCATAACAATGTTGGCCCTTCTTGACCTAGCAGTTCAACAGCCATAAATTTTTCTTTAAATCGAAAAATAAAAATGCTTATTGCTCCATAGAAAGTAGTAAATTAACTGGAAACCACCTCAATAAAAGTGCGGTACTTGAATAAATTACATTATACTCACGCTAAACTAAGAAAAAAGAAATCACAGATTAGAATGAAAATTAAAATTACAAAATAAAGTAAAAAAAGCAACACAGACTTGTATCTACACTGTGATGATGGAGACTCACAAGGTTTGAATCCTGGGCAAGCTCCTCTCTGGACCTCAAATCTCACCTGGAGTGTGATGAGACCCACCAGAAAGGGTTGGTTTGAGGTCTAAATGTGGTAATTCACGTATAGTGCTTAGAAAGCATTCAGTACATGTTAGCAGTCATTACAGTCATTCCTGGCATCCATGGAGGACTGGTTCCAGGACCTCTGCCAATACCAAACTCCACGGATGCCCAAGTCGCTTATATAAAATAGCACAGTATTTGTATATAAGCTAAGCACATCCTCCTGTATACTTTAAGCCATCTCTAGATTATGTATGATACCTAATATGATGTAGCTAATGCTATGCAAAGTTGTTATACTTTCTCATTTAGAGAATAATGACAAGAAGAAAAAAGTCTGTATATATTCAGAACAGATGGAATTTTTCCAAGTTTTTTTTTTTTTTTTGAGACAGTCTCGCTGTGTCGCCCAGGCTGGAGTGCAGTGGCGTGATCTTGGCTCACTGCAAGCTCCGCCTCCTGGGTTCACGCCATTCTCCTGCCTCAGCCTCCCGAGTAGCTGGGACTACAGGCGCCCGCCACCACGTCCAGCTAATTTTTTTTGTATTTTTAGTAGAGACAGGGTTTCACTGTGTTGGCCAGGCTGGTCTTGAACTCCTGACCTCAGGTGATCTGCCCACCTTGGCCTCCCAAGGTTCTGGGATTACAGGCGTGAGCCACTGCGCCCTGCCCCCTCCAAATATTTCCAATCTGCTGTTGATTGAATCTAAGAATGCAGAACCCATGAATATGGGAAGCTAACTGTATTATACTATTATATCTAGTGAAATAATCAGCACATGGACAAAATCTAGAAGAGTCAGATATGTTGGGTTATCAGGATTGCGGCATTCTTCTACGAACAGTTCCATTAGTTTTACAATAAGAATAATACTGTTATCTTTATGTAAATAATATGTAAATCTTTTTCATGACTCAGGAGTTCAAATGGGAACCCTGACCAGCACAGATGGTGCCAGCACCTCATCTAAACCCTGTGGCCAATTTTTCTTTTCTTCTGCCTTTTCCCATGTTTCTTGCTCCTTCCTATGGGCAGAGCGACGATTCCCACTTCAGAGCCCATTTCACCATAGAGTCATGTGGTAGCACTTTGCCTAGCCTCAATTCAGTGCATAAAGGCACGAGGCTGCATTCTGAAACTGAGGAAATAGGGTACAACTGTGCACAACAGAGAGGTTTTCTTCAGGCCCATAAAAATGTTTGACATGTGCTCTTTCTCAGTGTAATTAAATACAGTCTTGGTTTTTCACCACATTGTCAGTATCTTGGGAAAATTATTTTAAAAGTCTAAACAGGCCAGGTGTGGTGGCTCAGGCCTGTAATCCCGACACTTTGGGAGGCCAAGGCAAGTGGATCACCTGAGGTCAGCAGTTCGAGACCAGACTGGCTAACATGGCAAAACCCCATCTCTACAAAAAAAAAAAAAAAAAAAAAAAAAAAAAAATTAGCCAGATGTGGTGACAGGAGAATCGCTTGAACCTGGGAGGCAGAGGTTGCAGTGAGCTGGGATCGCACCACTGCACTCCAGACTGGGCAAGAGTGACTCTGTCCAAAAAAAAAAAAAAGCCCAAACAGCAAGTTATCCTTTCTGTTTCCCCTTCCAATTACATTTTAGGAATAATTATGATGATAGCTTAAATTTTTTTGGTATCTTTTTGGGATTCTCTGGGTTTTTTTTTATAAACATGACACAGACCTCATGATTTCCTATTTTTCTCTCCACTTTCTTTCAATTTGGATTTAAAAATTTATCAGTTTACATCTATTTGAAAGGCTAAATAAAAAGCAAGCAGTTATTTAAAATGCTGTATTAGAATCTAGTGTTGACTTATCTAAACATGTATATTAGGCTGAACTGCCTTCATATCTAATATTTTCTTGTCTAATACATATTAAACGCAAACCTAAATTTCTTTTCTTCAACCCTTCTTTCTGTTATTGGTATGTTGATGACCCCTCACCTCGCCCACTGACTTGCTGGAGCTAGAAACCTCAACTTCATCCTTGACCTCTGCCTCCTCACTTTCCCAAACCTGCTGCATCTAGTCAGTGTTTAAAATCTATCAACTTTAGCCGGGTGTGGTGACTCACGCCTATAATCCCAGCACTTTGGGAGGCAGGTGGATCGCCTGAGGTCAGGAGTTCGAGGCCAGCCTGGCCAACATGGTCAAACCCCATCTCTACTAAAAAATACAAAAATTAGTCGGCATGGTGGCACATGCTTGTAATCCCAGCTACTTGGGAGGCTGAGGCCTGGGAGGATGTTTGAAACTGGGGGGTGGAGGTTGCAGTGAGCCGAGAACGTGCCACTGCACTCCAGCATGGGTGACAGAGCAGGACTTCGTCTCAAAAAAAAAAAAAAAAAAAAGTCTATCAACTTTGAATCCCTAAAACGTTTCTCAGATCCATCCAATCCTTCTGACTCCCGTTTCTACCACATACTCGGTCCTTACCAGCTCTTGCACAAATTAATCCCACAGCCTCTCGAATGACCTGTCTGCTTCTGATGTCTCCCTACTTATTTCCTGAGTTTCCTTTATAAAACACAAACCTGTACATGTGACTTACACGCTTAGAAATCACTAATGGTTTTGCACTGCCCGTAAATTAAAGGCTAAATCCTTCAAATACAATAGATCCCTGATATGGTTTGGATCTGTGACTTCACCAAATCTCAGGTTGAACTGTAGCACCCAATGCTGGAGGCAGGGCCTGGTGGGAGGTGGCTGGATCATGTGGGTGCTATTCCTGTGATACTGAGTTCTCACAAGACCTGGTTGTTTGAAAGTGTGCAACACCTCGCACCTCACTCTGTCTTGCTCCTGCCATGCAAGAAGCCTTCCTGCTCCCCCTCTACCTCCCTCCATGACTGTAAGTTTCCTGAGGCCTCCCCAGAAGCTGAGCAGATGCAGGCATCATGCTTCCTATACAGCTTCCAGAACTGTGAGCCAATTCAACCTCTTTTCTTCATACATCACCCAGCCTCAGGTATTTCTTTACGGACTAATACAAGCCCTCTGGAGTTCACATATTCTCAGTATATTCACTGTTTTAGGGGAGGAGGTGGAATGCTATAGGGAAGTATTTGTCCTGAATCATTCTGTGGATACACCACACAAACTCAGAATTCTTAATTATTTTGGGCCTTTTAGTGCTGACATGTTAAAAAGTTTACTTAAAAAAACAACTTTAGACCAGGCGCGGTGGCTCATGCCTGTAATCCCAACACTTCGGGAGGCTGAGGCAGACGGATCAGTTGAGGTCAGGAGTTCGAGATCAGCCTCGCCAACATGGTGAAACCCCGTCTCTACTAAAAATACAAAAATTAGCCAGGCATGGTGGCAGGTGCCTGCAACTTCAGCTACTCAGGAGGCTGAGGCAGGAGAATTGCTTGAACCTGGGAGGCGAAGGTTTCAGTGAGCCGAAATTGTGCCATTGCGGTCCAGCCTGGGGGATAGAGGAAGACTCAGTCTCAAAAAAAAAACAAAACCAAACCAAAAAAACCCAACTTTACTACCAGGCAGATTCTTTTCTTTCGCTTTAGATAATCGCTATCAAAACTTTGTCATCTCACTAGAATGTTAATGCTTTTACTTAACATGCAAGGTAGATTTTAGTCCCTCCCTTTTGCCTTCTGTCTTTTGAGAGATATAATTCCTGAGTGTGTTCGTGTTGGCTGATGCTATTTCATAAGACATAATATTAATACTGCACCTGAAATACCTCACACCCTGCCACCCTTCCCCCCGCAGCAAACTTGAGTTTCCAACAAGAGTAAAAAGGAGATAATGTTTTTATTTCCACCAAGGACAACTTTCAAAGAGATTAAGTTCTGAACACCCCTGGCAAGATGAGCTAGCTGCACTATGATGGAACTACAACATAAGCTATAGAGTACTGAGTGAGCTTGCTAACAGGAACACATCTTTACTAAGACAACAATGAGGGAGGACACCATCTGAGGGCGGTCACCAGTCTGCAGCTTGCATTTCCTCTGAAACCACCTAACTGTTGAAATGTGCCAAACACTGCTCTAAGCACTTTCCAAAGAGCAACACATTTAATCCTCCTAACATACCTCTTTACTGTAGGTGCTGTCAGTTTTCATACTTTGTATGGTAAGGACAGTGAAGCACAGAGGTTAAGTGACTTGAGCTAGTGACCTCGCAAGGAAACAACAAGTCCTGGAATTCATATGAAGCAGTGTGACTCTGGGGCTCTCACCCAGGCCTCCCCTCTACACAGCTGTTGAGGAGAACGGCAAAAGCCAGGACCTTCCGGGGCAAGTGTTTAGCTGCCTTGATTTTCTCTTCTCATACGTTTTTCCAATAAATTGGACGAATCTGATCTGCAGTAGCAAGCCTTGAGGGTCCCGCGAAATTGGCCTTGGCTTGGGGTGCGGAGGAGGAACCTCCATTTTCCTGAAACAGTATTGGATGAAGCAAGCCGTATCTTTTGGAAAAATCGAAGCCCTAGTGCAGGACCTGTGTGCGGCAAGGCATTGCTTTCTGCAGAATCACACAAACTTTCCTGCATGAAGTTCAGAAGCCTTGACATAGAGCTTCTCTAACCACACACCAGCTAAGGGGCCGAGGCTGAGGCTGAGTCACCCTGCAAGTTCCCTGACAGGAGTTTAACTTCACATTTCAACTGGTTTTCCAGTAGAGACTCAAGATATTTGTTGAATTGAAAGGGATGCCTGCTTTTACATACTATTTGCTGTTAGCTCTTTTAACAGATTAGCAATAACTAGTTTAACATCCCAGGGATGAGTAATTAACATATAATAACTTGTGTGTTGTGGCTTGTTTATCAATATTTTTGTTTATGGTCCTTTGGGATTTTTTTGAATATTTTTCTCTACTTATTTATTTTGAGACTAGGTCATTAAGACTGGCTAATTTTCGTATTTTTGGTAGAGACAGGGTTTCTCCATGTTGCCCAGGCTGGTCTCAAACTCCTGGGCTCAGGTAATCCAAAGTGCTAGGATTACAAGCATAAGCCACCTTGCCCAGCCTTGGCCAAAGAATCGTGTACTCCTTATAAATTTTACTTTAAAATCAAGTGTAATGCTCCCCACATCATCCCCCTACCTCTAGAGAGAAAAAAAAAGTCAAGAAATAAATCGTAGTAAAATTTGAGTCCTTCAATTTGTCATGATTTATTCTGTAAGGTAATATATGCAATAAAATTCAAAACTGAAAATTTCACTTGATTCCTTAGAATTTGGACGAAATCCTGAAAGAAAATGAACCTTTTCTCTGGAAATTTAGTGTCAATGTCATCATGCAGTGATATAAAAAGATATACCACACAGTGTTAAGAAAAACAGGTAAATTAGATACAAGTCTCTGCTATATACTGAAAGCCATGGGAACAGGGCGCCACCGCCTAGAGAGTGAGAAATGAAGATGGGTCCCAGCAGAAGTAACAAAAAGCAAGTGCTTGCCAGAGAGAGGGGGCTGGGAGGGAGAGGAGAATGGAGAAAGGGAGTGTGGGAATGTGAGAAAGGGCAGTTGTAGCAAGCACAGAGGAAGAACAATCAGGTAGGGGTGGGGGTGAGGTACTGGAGTTAGGAGCAGAGAACAGGAGTTGAAGGGAGCCTTCACCAGGATGGGGGCCTTGCCAGGCCCTGGAAATGACCACCTTCAAGGAACATATAGTTGAGAATTTAGAGAGCATGTAGACTGGTGGCTCTATTTTACAGTTAAACTAGAGAGCCTACCTTTCTGACTTGGCTGTTTTGATGTTTTAATATGTGATTTCATTTTCATAATGTAATCAATCTATTTTATATTTTCCAAATCATGTTTTCCATCACAATTTAAAGTAAATTTAAGAAAGATGTGAGTCTGTTAGATGGGGGAAGTAAATAATTATCCATTATTTAAACTTGTATTAAAAATAAGCCCCTAAACTGGCCAGGTGCAGTGGCTCACACCTATAATCCCAGTACTTTGGGAGGCCGAGGAGGGTGGATTCCTTAAGGTCAGGAGTTCAAGGCCAGCTTGGCCAACATCCTCAAATCCCGTCTCTACTAAAAATACAAAAATTAGCTGGGTGTGGTGGCACGCACCTGTAATTCCAGCTACTGGGGAGGCTGAGACAGGAGAATCACTTGAATACAGGAGGCGGAGGTTGCCGTGAGCCGAGATCATGCCACTGCACTCCAGCCTGGACAACAGAGTGAGACCCTGTCTCAAAAAATCAAGGAAAAAAAACCCTAAATATAATCTTTAATATATTGATTCAGAAATTTAAAGAAAATTGGCCAGGCACAGTGGCTCAGGCCTGTAATCCCAGCACTTTGGGTGGCTGAGGCAGGTGGATCACTTGAGATCAGGAGTTTGAGATCAGCCTGGCCAACATGGTGAAACCCTGTCTCTATTAAAAATACAAAAATTAGCCAGGTGTGGTGGTGCATGACTGCAGTCCCAGTTACTTGGGAGGCTGAGGCAGGAGAGTCACTTGAACCCACGAGGAGGTGGTTGCAGTGAGCCAAGATTGTGCCACTGCACTCCAGCCTGGCAACAGAGCAAGACTCATCTCAAAATAAAAATAAAAATAGAAAATAAAAATTAACCTAAAACCAGTTAACATATACTGTCAGGTAAAAAAAAAAGATTAAAAGTTTCCCAAGGGGGGTTGGAAAAATTTGGGAGGGGCACCTTCTATGAGAGGGGAACAAGCAAAGACTCCCCGACTCCCCCACTAGTAGGGCTATCCAGCCTCAAGGGATCCATGGCCACCAGATCTACCTTCTGTCACATCCCTGCACGCCTTGGCATTCCTTAATGTCTCAAAGGTGATTTGTACATACCAAGTTATATCCATACCCATTCAGAGGCAATTACCTCTGTAATATCATTCATGTCAGAGGTCATTGTGATTCTCATACACAATTATACCAAGGCAAACAGTGGTCAATGTTGGACAGAAGCAAAGGGGACTTGTGCTGAAATGAATAGATTCACAAGTCCCACACTTGTGGGAAGGGAAAAAGGAAGGGAAAAAGGAAGGGAAGTAAACACCATTTTTAAATATAGAAATGTTCTAGTTTTCGGCAATTTTCAGAGTAGTGTGACACAGGGAGAGGAGCAATGTCTCTTGAGGACTTCCCAATATTTTAATATAACATCGTGCTTGTCAAAACACCTGATAAATACATAGGCCAAAATGGATCTCTAATGAAATATATGTGACTTTATCTTACATGATAGGATTAAGGGCATGCTCATTAAGCAAGACCAAAACTGAATGCATCTATCTGCTAAAACCTAGTAAGATAAAACTAGACTCAAAGTATCCTGGACAATTGAAACATCATCTGTCAAATTAAATAAAAGGCAAGTTAGTGTAATTTTAATTTGTCCTTGAGTGCACTGAGAAAAGTAGAATAAAAGCTAGGTAAATAAAAGCTAGAAACGGATCTTATAGTGATAGTGGTACATCAGCTCAAAGAGACAACAAGCCTAACTTTTTTCTTATTTTTTTTAGAGATTGAATCCCACTCAGTCGCCCAGGCTAGAGTGCAGTGGCACCATCTTGGCTCACTGCAACCTCCGTCTCCTAGGCTCAAGCCATTCTCCTGCCTCAGCCTCCCGAGTAGCTGGGATTACAGGTGCCTGTCACCATGTCCAGCTAATTTTTGCATATTTTTAGTAGACACGGGGTTTGACCATGTTGGCCAGGCTGGTCTTGAACTCCTGACCTCAGGCGATCTGCCCACCTCGGCCTCCCAAAGTGCTGGGACTACAGGCGTGAGCCATCATGCTCGGCCCAAGACCTGAATTGAGACACAGGATCTAGAGATTTGCTGGGGAAGATTTAGCCTGATTACTGATTATCAATTATTGCTATAGAACACCTAAAAGTTTACACAAAAAAACTGGGCTGAGATATGTTAATAATAAATGTTGAAATAACGAAAACACTGTCAGATGGTCACATACACATATGCACATCAAAAAGCAATAAACAGGCTGGGCGCAGTGACCCACACCTGTAATCCCAACACTCTAGGAGGTCAAGGCAGATGGATGATCTGAGGTCAGGAGTTCCAGACCAGCCTGGCCAACATGGTGAAACCCCACAACAAAGTGAGATTCTGTCTCAAAAAACAAACAACAAAAAACCCACCAAATACTGTGACTTTCCAAGGAAAGTTGGGAAGCAAGAACTCAACTTTGACAAGAGGATGATTAACGGATTATTTTGAGCGCTCAAATTTGACTAAAGAATTTTGTACTTGAGGGTCTTAAATGTTACATCCTCCTAGGATCTTTGCATTTTAAAATGTCATTGTGTATAAACTTCTTAGGGGAAGTGAATCTTCTACCTCAAACTTGGAGTTTCACCGTGATGTTAATAATGGAGACAGGGAAGGAGGCACAAAGAAAAGACCGTAATTGGGAGATAGGGGACATGATAAGAGTAAAGGGCAAGCTCCTTGCATGACTGAATTAAAATGTTCTAATTTCAAATATATATTTCACATTCAATATAATTTTTACTATAGTCTATGGGCACTTCTTTTTGCCAGAAGGTTATAAATAATATGGTAGACTACTAAACATACAGTTGTACATCCATCTGATCCCTTCCCACGAAAAAGTGGATAAACTTGCAAGATAAACTCATGACACCATGAGCAATGGGAAGCTGGAAACATGAGAGATGAAGTGAGTGACAGTGATTCTGTGCACTGCAAGGAAGCAGACAGTAATGATGAGTGCAGTGGAGGAGCCCCCAGAAAGCCAGCCACTTTAGGGCACAGAGCTTGGGGAGGCCTCAGTAAGTGGGGGTGCAACATGGGGCTGAAAAATAGAGCATTAGCCCAAAGTTTCTAAGAGGAGTTAGATCCTTAACCCAGTTCAACCAGGTAACTGTTCTCATCCACTGAAAACAGGCGGGAGATTGTCAAAGTCCGCGCACTGAATCATGAGCCCATATCCCCACCCACACAACCCTACCATCCTCTTCTCCACTTGGCTTTTAGGACGCTGGCAGCCAAGCTTGCATCTCTAGACAGGAAATCTCAAGATTTTTCTCTGGAACAAAAAAAAAAATGTTTTTTTTTCCTCTGGGAAAACTCAACTCAGAAAAAAGACCCATATGCTGGCTGGCTGCCTTATTATTCTACGGAGAGGACTACAGGCTAGCAAGCCTGGCCCATACTGTAACAGAGAGCTTCAAGTCATTTTTTAAAACATCTCTTTCTCTCTTAAAAATATAAATCAAGGCTGGGTGCAGTGGCTCAAGCCTGTAATCCCAGCACTTTGGGAGGCCGAGGTGGGCGGATCACCTGAGGTCAGGAGCTCGAGACCAGACTGACCAACGTGGAGAAACCTCATGTCTTCTAAAAATACAAAATTAGCTGTGCATGGTGGCGCATGCCTCTAATCCCAGCTACTCAGGAGGCTGAGGCAAGAGAATCGCTTGAACCTGGGAAGCGGAGGTTGCGGTGAGCTGAGATTGCGCCATTGCACTCCAGCCTGGGCAACAAGAGCGAAACCCCATCTCAATAAAGAAAAAAAAATCAAGACATCTGAAGAACCTCTAACAAGAAAGAGAAAATAGGAAACAGACAAAGATTTTTAAAAATTATAGTACAGGCCAAGTGTAGTGGCTCACGCCTGTAATTCCAGCACTTTGGAAGGCTGACGTGGGAGGATTGCTTAAGCTCAGGTGGTGAGACCAGCCTGCCTGGGCAACAAAGTGAGATGCTGTCTCTACAAAAAGTAAAAAACTTAGCCAGGTGTACTGGCATGCACCTGTGGTCCAGCTACTTGGGAGGATCCCTTGAGCCCAGTGGTTGGAGGCTGCAGTGAGCCATCATCACATCACTGCACTCCAGCCTGGGTAAGGGCATGAAACTGAAACAAAAACAAAAACAAAAAATACGTTATAATGTATTCAAAAAGCAAGAGAAACGATTATAGCCATCAACTAGGCTCTGATTATTCTTTAAAAGTCAGTACATTCAGAGAAAAAAAAAGCTCTTCAAAATATCAAGAAAAAAAATAAGTAAATAAAAGGCTAGAAGGCTGGGCACTGTGGCTTGTGGCACATGCCTATAATCCTGGTACTTTAGAAGACCGAAGTGGAAGGATTGCTTGAGTCCAGCAGTTTGAGACCACTCTGGGCAACACAGTGAGACCTTGTTTCTGCAAAAAATATAAATATTAGCTGGGCATGGTGGCACACACCTTTAGTCCCAGGTACCAGGGAGCCCCAGAGTTCGAGAATGCAGTAAGCTGTGATCGCACCACTGCATTCCAGCCTGAGTGACAACAAAACAAAACAAAACAAAACAAAACCAAAACAAAACCCACATACAAAAAAGATTAGATGATAAAGCTGAAGAAAGCATAGAGAAATCAGAACAAAAAGATAATGAGATAAAACATAAAACAGAGGAGAAAAGATAAAAACAGCGGATCAATCCAGGAGGTAAAATGCCTTATATTAACAGGAATTATAAAGAGAGCAGAGAAAATAGAGGGAAGGAAATTTTCAAAGAACTACCACATGACAAATTGCCTGAACTGAAAGACATCAGCGTACATAAGATCTCATAGAGTAGCCAACACAACCATGAAATGACCTAGTCAAGACCTATCATTTTGACATCTCAAGACCCTAGGGAAAAGGAGAAGATCCTCAAACTTTCCAGAAGAAAAACAGAACATGCATCAAGGGATGAAAAATTAGAATGGCAGTCTTCTCAACTGCAGCACTGGAAGCTAGTGGACAAACCAGGAAGAACGACTGCAAGACAGTGAGAGAAAAATCACTTCCAATCTAGAATTCCACACCTAGCCAACTCTCAATTAAGCATGAGGCTAGGATAAAGTCATGCTCAGATATATAGGATCTCAACATTTTTACACTCCCACACACCCTTTCTCACAAAACTACTAAAGGATGATGCACGCCCTTAAATGAAGGCTCACTTTAAGAATGAGGAAGAAATGGGATTCAGGAAACAGAACATTCAATAGAGGAGAGAAAGAAATGAAGATGATGATGTTGATGATCTGCCCCAGGATAAGTTATGAAACAGATCCAAAGAATAAATATCCTAACTGGAAAGTGTGCGTTAGAAAAGATGTGGCCCAAGAAACTTGAAATATAATAATATGCTTCATAAGCATTATACATTTCAAAAAATGAAAAACGATTTTAGAAGTCTATACAAATCTTCCAAATTACCTATTTCATTTTCTGTCCATCACATGGGCATAGGCACTTTAATTTGGAGGAATAATCATGTGACATGTAAGAACAAAAACATGCAAGAAAAGGAACCAAATGAAATAAAAATCCCAAGCTGGTAAGAGATTTCTCATACTCACCATCTCTCTGGCTATTTCCAGCGCTTCCTGCAGGCCATAGAGCCTGCCACAAACCAGGTAGATTCCATTGGCCCAGAGAATACAACCCTCATGGACCCAAAATTCATTGCTGTCAAGAGGTAGTTCAGGGATTTGTAACTCCAGCTCAGGGCCACCTTCTGAAGTGGTGGGCACGGAGGGCTTCGAGTCCAAAACAGTCTTTTCACTGCTGCCCTCAGTGGCTGCTTTTTTACAAGGGAGCCCCCTGGACAGGGACCGAGGGCCTCCACCACAGTCTTCCGAGCGGTGGCGCCGCTTAAACCTGGGGTGTGCGGCCAGGCTTCTCTGCTCCTTCTGCTGCTGCTGCTGCTCTTCCTCCTCCTCAGTGTCCGTCTTGGAGCCATTAGAAGCACTTTTGTGCCGTACCTTAACTTTGCTCTGCATTTCTGTGGCCCTCTTAGGAGGTGGATTCTTCGGGAGAGTGGCTGCATAATCTTGGGGATAAAAAGGTCCAAAGAGGTCACCCATGTTCCGGTAACTGGCCCACTTGCCACACAGACAGCAAACCAGGTGCCCCATAACCGAAGACTCTGTCACAACAGGTCCCTGCAGCATAAAGGACGAGGCCGGGAGCGCCTTGCTTTCAGTGCTGCTAGGTGGAGGGGTCAGTGACCTCTGACCCTTCCTGCCCCTCACTAATTTGGTCTGTTCTTCTTCCTCAGCATTGATGATTGTACAAACGGCTCCAAGTTCACACTTATTTACTACATGGATGTAAGGGTAAAAAGACTTGTTCTTGGCATCAGTTTTATCCAGTGGCTGGGTGGCATATTTTAGTTTGATCTCAGGTTCTTGGGGTTCCACAATGGGAACTGCTTGTTTGGTTTTTCGCTTCCTCGGCTGGGCCCCAGGCTTCCTTCTCTCCCTCCTTTGCCTCTGTTTTTTTGGCTTTGGCTCTCCATCTGCAGAACCTTCTGGTATCTGTGGGGGCTGAGGGGGTGGAGGCGGTGGCTGCTGCTGTTTCTTTTGCTTATTCACACTACCAATGGGTCTCCCCTTCTTCTTTCCTGATGGGAAATATCCCTTTGGAGGGAAACCCTCTTGCTTCGGTGAAATCGTCACTGTATCGTTCTCCTTCTCTTCAGCCTTGGGGTTTGCCTCAGGGGCCAATATGCCCACTGGAGGTACATTCTTTGAGTCTGGAAAGATTAAAGGTGCTGTTCCACCCAGGGAACCATCTGGTCTCCCTTGGTTACTACCAGGCTTCTGTGAGGTTGTGGATGTCATGGCACCAGGGGGTTCCTTTCCGGCAGTAACTGTTTCTGCATGTGTCTCTGTCTTCACTTTGTCATCCACGCTGCCACGCCACTCTTCTGAAGACCTTGGAAGAGGTTTCTCTACGTGCAACTCCTGGTTTGCTGGACTGACTAGGTCCGAAGCCACCTCACCTTTTCTCTTCTCTATGTCAGCATCCTGAACAGCAACACTCCCACCTTCAGGAGGACCACTCTTCAAAGACAGTATATCATCAAGCGTAACCGTGTCTCCCCCAGCCTCCGCACTGTTCGAAGATGCGCTCCTCCTAATATTTGGGGATGTAATCTTCTGAACTATAGCTTCCAATTTCAATCCCCGTCCTTTCCGTGGGGGCAGTATTTTGGTCTTAGCAGGGCTTGTGAGGGTAACAGCAGGGCAGTTTCTACTATCTGGACTTGGAAGGTCCTTGGAGGAATCTCTCTTAGGGATAGACTTGATATCCTGACTGTGAGAAAGATGGGCATAGGAATTGAATGCTTTATCAGCGCCTTCTTTTGATGAGTGAAGGAGGCGACCTTTATCTTCAGTGCTACTGTTCTTTACATCTTGTGACTGTCTCTTACTGGGAATGGGAGAGATAAAAGAACGAACACGCCTCCTCATGATTAAGGGGTTTTGAGAAGAATGATCCTCCTGGCCTGGAAGTCTCAGCATAACACTACCAGGTTTGGATGACTGTGTAGCCTCAGCTAGTCCATGTCCATCAGTCTCATGGGGCGGCCCATACCTTTTTTGACTGGACATTCCTGGAGGACCGCTGCTTTTGGCTGGAGAAGTTTGCCGAGAAAGATCCCAACAGGATTCTTGTAACTTCTGGGAGCCATGCTTTAATTCCATGCCCTTGTTAGGCAGACCATCACTAGACATTAGGCAGCGCCCAGCCTCCTGGGCACTGGGGTCATGGTAAGTCCCCACTGGTGGGCCATACATCATACCATCTTTGTCATTTTTCAGAGGGCTCCGTACTCTGTCAAGAAACTGCTGCTGCCTTGGACTCTTCCGTGGCCCCTCCTGCCTGTGCTGTGCTGCAGCAATTACTCCCTGAGCAGAACCGCTGCTCCAGTCTTTATACTCCTCTGGTTGCTGTTGGTACATCTGTCTCTTATAATGCAGCTGAGAATTCAAACCTGCGTTAGGGTCCCCATAAGCATGAGCCCGAGTATTTGCATGATAAGCAGAGGCCAGGGTTTCTGAGTTGGGAGAAAAGGGAGTGTGTAAAGAACTCCGGTTAGCCCTCTCTGAAAAGGTCATGTGTGGATTCATGTGATGAGGGTCTCCCCCTGGGCCTCTGCTCCGCCCAGGAGACATTTTCAATTTTTCTGCAAAGTCATGATATTGAGAAGGGGACCGACCCCTCATGCCCTCCCGACCACCAACTCTGCCAGGGACCCGCCGCATTGGCGTGGGTCTGCTGTCTTGCGGGCCATAGTCTGAAAGGGAATCATGGGTTGCTGCTCCAGGGCTGGCATTGCCGCGGTAAGACTCATGCTTGATGCTAGGAGGATGGCAGTGGTCTCCAGATTTCTTGTTGTTGAAACTAGCTTGAGATTTAGACTGTTCAAAGTCTTCCTCTTTTATCTGCCCGCTCTGGGATTTCAGCTTGGTTTCCATGGACACCAAACCACCAGGAAGAATGACCGACTGACTTAAAGTTGGATTGAGACGGTCATTCCTCCCAATTCTGGTGTCGGCACTCATGTGTCCCAGTGAGTGAGCCCCTGGGTCCCTGACAATCTGTCTTAGTGGAGAAATATCACAGATCACTGATCTTCTTTCAGAGAGGGAACCCCCAGGCTCATGTGCTGATGACTGAGGCTCTATTTCAAACTTTCTGGGAATTGGATAGTCAGTCAAATTGATCTGTTTCATTTCAGGAGCTGTGCTGCTTGATTTCCTTTCCCAGGGGCCCCAGTGGGGATTTTCTAATAGAGACCCAATGCTTTTGTTCAGAAGGCCCCTGCTAGCTAATTCATTGGTTTGACTAACCAAGACATTGGGCCTTGTGGTTCCTTCTAGGCTACCAGCCATCCCCTGATGCTCTTGAGTACTCCTAGAATATCTCCTGTCAGGGTGGTGGTGGTAACCCTGAAGCACTTCCTGCAGGAGGCTTGGGAATTTTTCATTTCTACCCTTTCGTTCCCCATGGCCAGTGAAATCTCCCTTTTCTTGCCCTGTAGGATACTGAGGAAAGCCACTGACATTTCGTGGCACGGCTGACCCGAAACTATCTTTGTAACTATAGCGCAGACTTCCAGGAGATTTGCTAGGCTCAGTTCTGCTCGTAAAACCAGGGCCCGCTGCAGAGTGGCCACTCTGGCCATTTCCTTCTCCATTATGGTTGGAGTTGTTATCGCCATTCTTGTTTCCTTTGCTCCCTCCTCCTCCTGGAGGCTCTGGCTGGGGAAGTGATGCATGACTGGTTTCCTTTGCCCCACCATTGCTAGGTGGCCTTTGAGTGGCTGCAGGATCATCCTCTTGGGAGCCTTTATCTTGTCCACCAGGCTTTTCTACCCGACCTGTCATGGCTTCCCGGGAGACAATCACCCCAACAGTCTTCTCATTAACCTTTGGGTTCCCGTCGGATGACAATGGCATGTCCTTAGCGCCTGGTGAGGTGGCCTCTTCTCTTGCGGCAGGACTAGCATTGAGTCTGGGGGGTTCATTCTGAGCACCTTGTGCCGGTGAGGAGCCAGCTTTCTCAGAGGCTCCACCCTTGTAGGTGGTGTCAGAGCTGGTGCTCTGGCCACTTAGTTGCCGCACTCTCTCGCCTTGATCCTCTGAACTGCTGGAGCAGCCTCCATCTAATGACTCTGCCATAGGGGACTTCAGCTGTTCTTCAGGTTGTGAGGAGCCTTCAGAATTTGTGCAGCTATCTGCTTTCTTGGAAGATGAGGGCCTCTTGGAGGTCTTCTTCTGAGGAGTCAGGGCATCAGAAAGTAACATGTGCTGGACAGTGTTAGGAAGATTGGCCACTTGAGTACTCAGAGCACTCAAACTACTCAACCCAGGATCTGTCAGTCGCTTTTCTGGTACCCCTTCTAGTCCAAACCCTTTGAAGCCTGCAGCATGAGAATTAGGACTGGGCATCATTGATGGGGTTGGACTGAGTTGAGGCATTAACTGTAAAATTCTGTTTCTGGAACCCATAGGCACACTGCCTTGCCCACACTGGAGATTCTCCCCAGTCTGCATGAGAGGAGATGGGGTAGAACTACAGCTTGGAGACTGAACCACAGAGGCAGCTGGAGAAGGGTTAGAAATGGGGCTGAAGTTCTGGTGAAACTGCATGGGGGACCTCACAGGAACCTCAGGCTGGTTGTACTGCCCCACTTGGCTTTGCAGGGGCAGCTTGGTGGCAGCGTTAGTATACTGCATCACATGCTGAGAAGGGTGTTGTTGTTGCTGCGGTTGCTGCTGCTGCTGCCCCTGTTGGGTCCCTTGTGGAATCTTTGCCTGTTCAAAATTCTTCATAGATTGAGGCTGATAGCTGTAATTGGATTGTGTTCCATAAGCCTGTGCATTAGAACCCACATTGTGTCCTTCATACTGAGATCCAGCATTCACATTGTAACTGCCATCATAGCTCTGTCCAGACTGGCTAAAACGCTGTGGTGAAGGGAAGGAGGAGGAGGAGGAGGAGGAAGCAGAAGACTGATAGTGTTGGCCAAACTGACCCACTCTTAACTGGTAACCAGCAGCAGAGGATGGCAGAGTTGAGGGCCGCTGCATTGGCTGTAGATGGGATGAGCTGGATGCTGGTTGGCCAGTGGCCTGTGGCAGGGGCTGATGGGACTGGTAAAGCTGTTGTCTCAACTGCTGGACTTGCTGCTGCTGCTGCTGGCTGGAAGCCTGCTGTTGGTACTGAGCACTCCCTGGAGAGAAAGGCCCAGTGTAATCCTGCTGATAATGTGACACACCGCCAAGGCCAGAGTGCTGTGCTTGAAACTGGCCCACATGACCCTCACTCCCATACTGATTGCCAAAGCTGCTCCCCTGGGGGGGTCCATAGCTCTGCACAGGCCCAGAAGGCCTTCGCTGAGGAGGCTGTGGGGTTCCTGTAGTCACGGGGTCTTTGTTGCCTGCCATGTAGTAAAAATCTCCAGCCTCTTTCCTGAAACCCTGGTAACCTTGATGGCCAGAGGTCTCGCTAGCCATCGCTGCCGCAGCAGCTGCTGCTCCTCGTCGTCCACCACCACTGCCACTGCCACTGCTGCCACTACTGCCACCTGTACCTCCAAAATTCTGGAACATCTGGGCCTGACGAGGGCTGAACTCTTCTAGCCGGGATGAGCCGTGTACCTCCTGTGGGTAGCTTTGCTGGTTTCCGTGGTAACTGCTTTGCTCCCGAAAGGACTGCATACTGTTCAGCAGCACAGCAGCAGGCCAACAGCCCTCCTAGAAATAGAAGAAAGAAAAACATTAGACACGCATCTCCTTGGTACAAATAAAATCAAGTCTAGATGATGGAGGGAATAAAGATGAATCAGAGGCCCAGATGAAGCTGACTGGTTTGAATTTCTATTTTTTTTTTTTGGTTTTTTGAGACAAGAGTCTCACTCTGTCACCCAGGCTGGAGTGCAATTGCACGATCTCAGCTCAATGCAACTTCTGCCTGCAGGGTTCAAGCAATTCTCTTGCCTCAGCCTCCCGAGTAGCTGGGACTACAGGCGCATGGCCACCAGGCTCGGCTAATTTTTTGTATTTTTAGTAGAGACAGGGTTTCACTGTGCTGGCCAGGCTGGTCTCGAACTCCTGACCTCGTGATCCGCCCACCTCGGCCTCCCAAAGTGCTGGAATTACAGGCATGAGCCACCACGCCTGACCTTGAATTTCATCTTTTATATTTTATCCTATCCACTTCTGAAAATGCACATATGCAGAGAAATGGCCTAAAGAGTGAGGCAAGAATCTGTAGTAGAATGAAAAGCAGCACTCTGAGTGCATACAAACCCAATACAGCAAAAACATGTATGTCTCATATATCTAATAATGCCTTATTAGACAAATGAGCCCCCAAACTCAACCAGATTAAAATATGGGGCTGTGTTATTACTGTCAATGAAAAACAGCAATTTTTCAATAAGCCTCCCAGTTATGCGGGGGAGGGGGTGTGGGGTAAGAAAAACCAAATCCTTTTTTTTTTTTTTTTTTTTTTTTTTTTGAGACAAGGTCTCACTCTTGCCCAGGCTGGAGTGTGCAGGGGCACAGTCGTAGTTCACTGCAGCATCAAACACCTGGCTTCAAATGATCCTCCTGCCTCGGCCTCTCAAAGTTTTGGGACTACAGGCATAAGCCACTACTTTCATTTCTCTGCTTTCATGTATTAGGGTGATCACTGAACTGCGGGTTTTAACACTGGCTGCTGATCGCCACTCCCCAACACTGAGAAACAGACCTGGCCAGAGAACTGCAGCCAATTCCTTATGTCCAAGTGCAAATTTTTGCAGCTTTACTATAATTGCCAACTACCTGTGATGACTGGTGACTCCAGGACACTCAGCCCATATGGGTTCCACACAAACTTTGGAGTCAACCTCTTCTTGGCATATGACTGTGTCTACAGCACCCCTCTCTCCACCACTCTCCTTCAATTCCCAGGTACAAAGGGCTAGACTTAAGCCAGTGAATAGCAGTGACTATTCTTCCAGATTATTTTGGGAGGTTTCCAAGAAGTTCCAGCACCTTTACCCGCCATGTGGTATTTGTATTTGCCAGTTTTTTAAATTCACAGTTATTACTGGCCATTACTATGAAAGAATTAGAAGCAATCATCTTGGAGGACAGCAAAAAACAGAGAGGAAAATAGGAATTCATCAAGCCTAGGACCCAGACTCTTTCAAAGTTATCTGACTGAGCCACCACTTTGTATTACCTATTATAATCCCTCTTAATCAATCAAGCTGATTTTTTCCCCTTTCACCTGGGCCTGTCTCCTCAGAGTCAGAGATGAAAGGGACAAGGCCAAATTGCTCCAAGTGACTTTAGAACCAATTACTTAAAAAAACAAGTTCCAAAATACATATAGGGTAAAGTGAGGTGTAATAGACAGTTTAGTTTAGTTACAATGGTTTATGAAGCTAGTTTCCTAGTTCCCCTGAAGGGGAGCTGAAAATGGAGTTGCCTGCAGGAAAGTCAACAACCTTTTTAAAGGTAAGTCAGATTTATCCTCTCCAATCCCTGGAGTGGCTCCCACCTCATTCTTTGGGAAACTGGTCTCAAAGGCCCCTGCTCCCACCCCCTTGACCTCTCTGAGCTCCTCCCCTATCACTCTCTGCTCTAGCCCCACAGTTGCCTTGTTCCTGGAACAGGCCTACCACATATCTACATAGGAACTCTGTTCTCACCTGCACGTTCTTCTCCCAGAGCCAGATAGCTTGCTCTCCTTCCAGTCTTTGGGCAAGTGTCACTCATTCCCTGGTCATTCTAGTAAAAACAGCCAGCTCCACACCTTTTCCCTGGCTGTAACTCCCTCCCCTGTTTTATCCCCTGCCTGGCCCCATACTTACTCCAAACAGACACATATATGCTACTTGTTTACTGTCTGTCTCTCCTCTGACTAAAATGTAAACTCCTTAAAGGGCAGAAACTGACTGTTCCTTGCTGTAATCCTCACGTCATCACACCGGAGTCTGTGTGAATGATTAAATGGTGTAAGAACTAGGCCTTAGAGAACTAGGCTAGAACTCACATATTCAGAGATGGTGCTGTGGGAGTGACATGAGAGAATTATAGAAAGTGAAAATAGAATATGATCAACCTAAAAGCAGAGCTGGAGGATGCTGAAGACCTTGCCTGTAAAATCCCATGAGTCCGGTTCTAAGGGAAAGACCCAGCTTGAGTCCACATGAGAACTGAGGAAAGACTTCAGAAAGTAAATATTGATTAGAGCAGAAGATGGCCAGTAACCCCAAATTCTAAAAGCTTGACCCATATCTTGAAATATCGTAAGTCTAAAACAGCTAGACAAGGGTCTACTTCCTTAAGCTTGATTATATAGTCATGTGACCCAAAACAATCGCTAAACATTCATGTGCAAATAATGTCAGAATCTAAAGGAAACTTCTCATCCTATTCAAAATGCCTCTGTTGCTTTGTTCCAGTGAATCTGCAGGGCAGTAGGTAATAGCTATTCAAATGGTGATGATGCTGCTTGACACTGTTCCAGCACTTCACATACACTAACTCATTTAATCCTCACAACACTAGCACGCTCCTTTTACAGATGAGGAAACAGAAGCAGAGTTCACAAAGCTCCTAGGCAGCAGGGCTGGGGGCAGGACATGTTTTTAACATTACATTGCCCAGAGGGTCTTCCACATGGTCAGTAAAAAATACCAGTTGTCCTGTCAGTTTGGCCTTGAAAGTGGGTAGCCACCCACAATAAATCTGTCCCTTCACTGCCACCCTCTTATAAGGACCTCCATACTGTTCCAGCTGGCTCTTCACCCGCTCCCCATCATTCTTAGAACTATCAAGAGCAATTCTGTCTACATGAGTATTAATTTTTTCCCCTTGTGATGTGCTCCTGCTCTACTCCTCAGTGCCAGTGGCCTTCTCTAGATAAAACAAGGCTGAATGGGGGCTAAATTGAACAAAAACATTAAAGCTAGCAGTTTAAACTAATGAAAAGCCTTCTCAAGAGATATTCTCTATAAAAAGCTATGTTACATGTTGTTTAATTAATCCTTCTGGAAATAAAATCAGGCTTCTGAAGATCTGAGTGTATAAACAATGTTGCCACTTGCTCCATATTCTTCCTAAATAGGAGCCACCAAGAGCTAAAGGCCACTTTAAACATCAGGGTATCAGGCCTGAGGCTGCCCTATCTCCAGACAGGGAAAACAGATACAGGAAGGACTCCTTCTTAGGTCTGTTCTCAGCCTTCCCCTGCAGATTCCCTGTCCTGTATGATACCCCTTTCCCTATTGTTATGGTTCTACTTTATGAAAAAGAAAAAAAAAAAATCCAAGGCCAAATACCTCCTGCAGGGTTCCAGTCATGCTAAATATTCTTAGTATACATGAAGCACCTGAGTAGGAGAAGGTGGTTGCCCAGGTTTATCTTTTTTAGGAATGCCAAGTAAACCAATTAAGAAAACCAACTAGCATATACCAACGACAGAAAATGTAAACCTGGAGCTATAAAATAAGTAATAGGCTGGGTGTGGTGGCTCACACCTGTAATCCCAGTGTTTTGGGAGGCTGAGGTGTGAGGATCGCTTGAGGTCAGGAGTTCAAGACCAGCCTGGGTTAAAAAAAATTTTAAATGCACAGTGTCATGAGGTGTGCCTACAGTCCCAGCTGCTCAAGAGGCTGAGGTAGGACGATTGCTTGAACTCAGGAGTTCGAGGCTGCAACGAGCTATGAATGTGCCAATGTGCTCCACCCTGGGTGACAGTAACCCTGTCTCAAAAAAAAAAAAAAAAAAAAAAAAAAGCTAATAGAGATAATTCCAATTTTATCCCATCATCTTAAAAAAAGCATCAGTGTAGTCAGTTTTAAAGCACTGTGATTAGTAATAATAAGTGCCTGAATTCCTTTGTTTAAATGAATACAAATAGTAAGGAAAATCTGATACCTCAAAGGAATAAGTCACCTAAGGAACTTGCATACACACTCTAAAAAAGAGGCTGGGCACAGTGGCTCACCCCTGTAATCCCTGAACTTTGGGAGGTCAAGGCGGGCAGATCACTTGGGCTCAGGAGTTCGAGACCAGCCTGGGCAACATGGCGAAACCCTATCTTTATAAAAAATACAAAAATTAGCCAGGCATGGTGATGCGTGCCTGTAGTCCCAGCACCTCGGGGGGCTGAGGCAGGAGGATCGCCTGAGCCTCGGAGGCAGAGGTTGCAGTGAGCAGAGATCGCGCCACTGCCCTCCAGCCTGGGCAACAAAGCGAGATTCCGTCTCAATAAATAAATAAAAAAGAGGCCTACCGATGTACTTCCCATCCATAATGACTCTCCCTTTCCTGTTTTTCTCCTATATTCCTAACTTTCTGAACAGTTTCAGAAGGGCTGTGGAGGTGTATTAGTGAGGTCCAGAACTCTGTGCCTAAACATTCCAGAGTCCATGTGCCGACCTCACAAACTCACTCATAACCAGCTGCAGACTTGTTCTCCCCATCCTATTAGAGGGCTGATGACCTTGCCCTCTTATAGAAAACCAACATTGGCTTTCTCTGTCCTTCTTCCTCCATATGTCCAACAACATCCCACTTCCCAATCCATTCTCTTTTTTGGAAAGAGAGTCTCACTCTGTTGCCCAGGCTGGAGTGCAGTGGCATGACCACAGGCTCACTGCGGCCTCAACTCCCAGCTCAGGCAATCCTCCTGCCTCAGCCTCCCAAGTAGCTGGGACCACAGGCATGGGACCCCTGGCTAATTTTTAAAAAATAATTGGGACTATGGCTAATTTTTATAATTTCTTAAAAATAGAGACAGAGTCTCACTGTGCTGTCCAGGCTGGTCTCAAACTCCTGGGCTCAAGCCATCCTGCTGTTTCAACCTCCCAAAGTGCTAGAATTCAGCCATTGTGCCTGGCCCCAGCTAATTTTTTCATCCTCTGTCATGATTTTCTGCTTATTCTCCTTCTTTGCCTTTAAATCCTCAAGACATTGACAATGATGCATCTAGTTATAGCCTGTGTAAGGGATATTCCCTGTTTGCCCCCACAGCCTCTCCTCACCCATCTCCACCCTACTCTATGCCCTAGAACGGACAATGGAAGGACAACTGACAGGCCCCACCACCCTTGCCTTCTGACCCAGTTTGGCTGGTAAGAGGCAGGAGAGGAGGAAAGTGAGAGGAACTTACTCTCCTGGCTCCCACCCCGAGGTTACTGAGGCTGGCTGAGACCCTCCACCAATGGCTGCAGCTCCATCGGGCAACCTCAACATATAGCCACTTTCTCCAAACTCCAGGAACCACTTCATCCTCTGCCCTTCAGGTCTAGAAGGCAGTAGGTAACAACTCCCTGCTACTGCTAGCACAGAAGACTTCACTTTCCTGTTGGCTTCCCCAAACCCTGCTCACCCTTTCCAGTCCCTTTATTAATCTTCTGCATTGTTGTCAACTCAGCATCGTGACCACCCTCCTTCCAAGCTCTCCTCTGCAGATCAGAAGCTGAGAACTTCCGTTCCAGAACCCTTTAGCAGCATGGTTCTGGGTTAGAGTTTGCAATGAGAAGTGCAAGAGAGATTTAGAAGGCAAAATAAACGTAGAGGTTGATGATATTCCCTGGAGGTAGATGCAGCACACGTGGATTCATAGCGGCTTCCCCATGAGCTCACGAGAACCATTCACTATGACACTTCAGTATGAAATCATCAGGAACCTTCCCAATTCCAGTTCTTCCAGGGTTGGGTAAAGCCTTAATTCCTGTATCAAAACCATTCATACCGGAATAGACAACTTCTCTTTTCCTGAATGAACCCTGAATGATACAATTAAACACTCCTTAAATTACCCAGTTTGAATGTGCCATCTGTTTTCTACTGGGACCCTGACTGATAAGAGTTCTTCTCATTCCTAGGATTTCAGAGTAGACTATTGCCACTTGGGGAATGAGAGACTTCTATTTCATGCACTATGACATAGAACAGGGACTAAAAATCCTCCCTCAACAAAACACTTAGAAATGTCAGACAAAATGTATAGCCAAGTTGCAAGAAAGTAAGAAATGCCCAAAGTCCAAAATTGGATGAGATACTATGAAGAGAGTTGCAGGCAGGTGCTGGGCTCTGAATGCCAAGGATGTGGGGTCTATAGGGCTTATTAACCATATGGCAAAGGGTTTTTTTTTTTTTTTTTGAGACGGAGTCTCGTTCTGTTGCCCAGGCTGGAGTGCAGTGGCGATATCTCGGCTCACTGCAAGCTCCGCCTCCCGGGTTCACGTCATTCTCCTGCCTCAGCCTCCCAAGTAGCTGGGACTACAGGCGCCCACCACCGTGCCTGGCTGATTTTTTGTATTTTTAGTAGAGACAGGGTTTCACCGTGTTAGCCAGGATGGTCTCGATCTCCTGACCTCATGATCCGCCCGCCTCAGCCTCCCAAAGTGCTGGGATTACAGGCATGAGCCACCGCGCCCGGCCCCATATGGCAAAGGTTTTAATGACCATGCAGAGACAGAGCAAGGCCTCTGGCCCTCTAGACAGATCAGTACTTAAGGACTCTGGACAGTGTCACTTGTGACTGTAATCATTTCTAAAAGACAACAAATGCATTTATTATTAGGCAGTAACTAACTCATTTTCAATGACAAAGATAAGGTTGTTCTTCCTCAACTGACCCAACTGCCTATTCTCAAAGAAAACCATGATCATCCCAAGCAAGAAGCTTTAGAATAACCCCAAACTGACCTTTCACTTTGACTCTGTATTTACCATGCTACCTCATCATGACACTACTCTCCTTCCTGTATTTGTCCTTTCCCATTCCATTCTCGTCACTGTCATTTTCATCTTTCTTGGGCTAGAATAACACCTGAAAAGTTCTCTTTCCCAGTACTTTCTTTTGCTTAACTGCCATTTTGACACCATCACACCCCCCCATAGGCCCTGAAGCCCTGTGACATCTTCCCAACACAATTTCTGCTTCTCCCCACCCTCTCAAACAAGCCTGCTCAGCCCCCTTTGTGCCATCGGCCCACTCTCACCTTGGTCTCAACTTGGAGCCTTTTAAGCATCCCCAGGCCCATAAATTCCTTCTTGCCACATGAGATCATATGGTTCTTAAGAGCTCTTAGAATGTGTCCTGCTGTATCTTAAGAGCTCCTAAAATGTGTTATCCATGTGATTTTCTCTACAAATCTTCCTCTAAGCAGAGAATGTGTTGGCTTTACCTTGCTTAGTAAAAACAAACCAATTAAAGTATTTACCTTTAACCAGTATCTAAGGTATGTACCACTGATATAATAAAAATTGCTGGCCGGCCACAGTGGCTCACACCTGTAATCCCAGCACTTTGGGAGGCCGAGGCAGGCAGACTGTTTGAGCTCAGGAGACCAGCATGGGCAACATAACAAGACCCCGTCTCCACAAAAAATACAAAAGAATTAGCTGGGTGTGCTGGCTTGTGCCTGTAGTCCCAGCCACTCCAGAGGCTGAGGCAGGAGGATCACTTGAGCCTGGGAGGCAGAGGTTGCAGTGAGCCGAGGCTGCACGCTACTACACTCCAGCCTGGGTGCTACAGTAAGACCTGTCCCAGTAAATAAATAAATAATTGCCATTTATTTAGCAATCTATATATGTTAGTCACTGTGTGGTTTTACCTGTAACTCAATTAATGAATGAGGGGGAAAAATTAATGTAATTTTTTCCAAAAGTCCAAATTTTCCAAAAGTCACTCCTCTAGGACAAGTTGGAGCTGACATTCTGTAACTCCAATTCTTCTGATTCTAGAGCCCATAACCCTTTCTTTCACTGTACCACAAAATTAGGCAAGGAAGATCCAAATGCATATTTTTGAAAATCCTGACACACACTTGGGTCAGATCTCTAATAACTGTAGCTATCAATTATTGCCATGCCTCACACATGTGACACACTATCAGGTGCTTTACACAAATGTTAATGCATTTCATCCTTACCATGATCTAAGAAATGTTAGTAATCCTTTTTGTAAATGGAGACTCAGAAGTTAAACAAGCAAAATATTCATGGTAAACAATGAGATAAGATATATAATATGCCCACTGCAAAACCCAGTCTGTATTTCCCAATCTGTGACATTGGGAAGCATTTTAGAAAGGAATCTTGAGGAATCTTGCTAGAATTTAGTTGACTGCTTGTACCTAGATATATCTGTAACACCTGTATCGTTTGTTTTGTGTATGTGCAAATGTGGGATCTTCCTAAGTGTATCAAGCATAAAGATCTGCTCAGTGACTTAATATTTCATACTCTATGTCCTGTTTGCACATGGGCAGAGCCTATATTTTTCTCAGTGGCTAAAAGTTATCTTAGTGTAATAGGACTTCAGAATAAAATGAAGTGTAATGAAGGTGCTGGCTTCCTCCCTGACTTGGGAGATCAGAAGAGTCTGAAAGCAACTCAGAATTCGCAAGTCAGTTCCTTGTCTAGAAGGAAAGAAACCCACAAGAATGCTGCATATCTAAAAAGATTGCTTTCTGGGTGTCAAAACTCATATTAGCCATGTAAGCCATAAAAAATATCCACCTTGAATCATGACCAAATACATGCAGGCAAAAACTAGGGGGATAAATTTGTAACTATTACATTTCCTGGCCAGGCGCAGTGGCTCACGCCTGTAATACCAGCACTTTGGGAGGCCGAGGTGGGCGGATAACGAGGTCAGGAGATTGAGACCATCCTGGCTAACACAGTGAAACCCCGTCTCTACTAAAAATACAAAAAAATTAGTCGGGCGTGGTGGTAGGCACCTGTAGTCCCAGCTACTCAGGAGGCTGAGGCAGGAGAATGGCGTGAACCTGGGAGGCAGAGATTGCAGTGAGATCGCACCACTGCACTCCAGCCTGGGCAACAAGCGAGACTCTGTCTCAAAAAAAAAATTTCCTAAAAAATTTAAAAGATGATATCCCATCTGGTTAGGTTAGGCTAAAGCTGGTACAAAAAAAAAAAAAAAAAAAAAAAAAAAGCACCATAAATGATTATGACTCTTGGAAAAGAAAACTGGTAATAAAACAGTCAACCAAACAAAAAAACAAAATACCAACATATTCACTCCAGTAATATGTATTAGAAGAAAAAACTGGCAACAACCTATTTGAAAATTGATTAAACAAATTATGGTATATCCACTCAAAGAAATAGTACATAATCATTTTAAACAATTGCAAAGACTCTAGCACCATAGAAAATTACATAGTATCAGATGAAAAGAGCAGCTCACGTAAACTTATACCTGTGCTATGATTATAACTATCTGAAAATGAGGCATTCATTTAGTCCCAGGCCAAAGGGAATAATGGAGAAAAAAGGAAAACTTCTGGACTATCCAAGATGGCAGTGTTGTGGAAGTATTTTTTCCCCTTTTCATTTCTATTTACATTAATTTTTGTGTAGGAAATAATCACTTTTTTTTTTTTTTTTTGAGACAGAGTCTTACACTGCACTGCTGGAGTGCAGTGGTGCAATCTTGGCTCACTGTAGCCTCTGCCTCCCAGGTTCAAGCAATTCTCCTGCCTCAGCCTCCCAAGTAGCTGAGATTACAGGTGCCTGCCACCACGTCCGGCTAATTTTTGTATTTTTAGTAGAGACAGCATTTCGCCATGTTGGCCAGGCTGGTCTTGAACTCCTGACCTCAAGTGATCCACCTGTCTTGGCTTCCCAAAGTGCTGCGATTACAGGGTGAGCCACAGTGCTCAGCCAAAATGTCATTAACCTCATTTAAAAATTACAACCCTTAGGCCGGGCGCGGTGGCTCACACCTGTAATCCCAGCACTTTGGGAGGCCGAGGCGGGTGGATCATGAGGTCAGGAGATCGAGACCATCCTGGCTAACAAGGTGAAACCCCGTCTCTACTAAAAATACAAAAAATTAGCCGGGCGCGGTGGCGGGCGCCTGTAGTCCCAGCTACTCGGGAGGCTGAGGCAGGAGAATGGCGTGAACCCGGGAGGCGGAGCTTGCAGTGAGCCGAGATTGCGCCACTGCAGTCCGCAGTCCGGCCTGGGCGACAGAGCGAGACTCCGTCTCAAAAAAAAAAAAAAAAAAAAAATTACAACCCTTGAACTATCTCAACAGTATCAGAGCTTTATCTGTTCCTACTGACAGCAAAGTGCTGCTCTGCCCAAGGGAAAGAAATAGAGGCACAGGGGACCCCACAAGTCAGAAGCAGGAGGGAAGGGAGGAGCCTGCCAGACAGGACCTCTACTTCAGGAAACCTGGTGCCAATGCCACACACAGGGTTGTTGGACACCACAGTGCCCAGGCAAGTGTGCACACAGGGTCACTAGCTCAAAATTATTTTTTGAGAATCAGGCCTAAAGTCAGCTGAATTCCAACCCACAGTCGGCAGGCCTATTATTAGGCATAATTTCAAACAGCCAAGAGGCTGCAAGCATCCTATATCCACCACATGCTTCTGTAACTCTGCAAGGAGATGCTATAAATCTGCTCCTGAGCAGACCAAAGGCACCTGGGCCCTATCCTGGCCCCACCCCCACTCCATGGCTATCTGTCTTATTTTCACAGGGGCATCCCAAGATCACTTCAGATGACCACATATGTGAGCAGGATGGCCAAACAGTTCCCAAAAAGGGGGCAGGAGAAGGGTGGGAGCAGGACATCTCTGGGGCTAGCTAGAGGCTCCTGTGGGATTTTCTTAAATGCTGAGCGTAGGGGCTTCTGAGATGTCATTGAATATATTTTTTCATTCAAAGGTTGTATTAATACATAATTTCTAAACCTTCAGAGGCAAAAGGGAGGTAATTAGTGTTGCCACTTATAGGCTAAAAGGATGTTCCATTTTATAATTCATTCAAATATAATTTTGAGGCCGGGCCTGGTGGCTCAAGCCTGTAATCCCAGCACTTCGGAAGGCTGAGGCAGGCAGATCACACCTGAGGTCAGAAGTTCAAGACCAGCCTGGCCAACATGGTGAAATGCTGTCTCTACTAAAAATACAAAAACTGGCCACATACGGTGGCGGAAACCTATAATCCCAGCTACTCAGGAGGCTGTGGCAGGAGAATCGCTTGAACACAGGAGGTGGAGGTTGCAGTGAGCCAAGATCACGCCACTGAACTCCATCCAGCGTGGGTGACAGAGTGAGATTCTGTCTCTTAAAAAGAAATAATAATAAAACAAACAAATACAATTCTGAATTAAAATTCAAAAGATATCAATGACCAATCCAAAGCAGAAGTGGGCAAAAGCTATATGAAAATTAGAGACTTCACTGAACAACCCAAAAAAGCTCAAAACAAAAGGAAAGAAACAAACTAGCAGAACAAATGGTATAGCTAGATAAAAAGGGCTAGTATTGTAAAGACGTTAAGTCTCCACATATTAGTTTATAAAATTCTAATAGGTTCCAGTCAAAATCTCAATAGGATATTAAAAAATAATTTTTAAGACTGGGCGTGGTGGCTCACGCCTGTAATCCCAGCACTTTGAGAGGCCAAGGCAGGCAGAACACACGAGGCCAGGAGTTCAAGACCAGCCTGGCCATTACAGTGAAACCCCGTCTCTACTAAAAATACAAAAATTAGCTGGGCATGGTGGCACATGCCCGTAATCCTAGCTACTCGAGTGGCTGAGGCACAAGAATCACTTGAACTCTGGAGGCTGCAGTGAGCTAAGATCGTTCCATTGCACTCCAGCCTGGGAGACAGAGCAACAGCCTCTCTCAAAAAAAAATAGTAATTTTAAATTACTTCAAATGTACAGAAAAGTGCAAAAATAGTTCAAAGGGCTCACATACCCTCTTTCAACGAGATTCTCCAACTGATGCTTTACCTCATTTGCTCCATTATCTTTTCCTGACCCCTTTGAGAGCAGGCTGAAGGCATGAAGCTCCATTGTTGCTCAATACTCTAGTGCGTTATTTCCAAAAACAAGGACATTCTCCTCCATAACCAGCATACAAGCCTCCACATCAGGAAATCAACACTGATACTACACTCTCAATCCAATCCATAGACCCCATTTGAATTTTGTCAGCTGTCCCAACAATGTCTTTCCTTTCTAGTCCAGGAGTCTACCCCAGAGCTACATCTCACCAGTGTCAATCAATCTGGAATAGTTCCCTTTTCTCTTCCTGACTTCCATGTCCCTGCCAGAGTACAGTCTTTTCATTTTGCAGGATAACCCTCAATCTGATCTGTATTTCCTCGTGACCAGACTCAGGTCATGCTTCCTTAGCGGCAATACCAGACACATGGTGCTGTATTCTTCCCAGGACATTGCATAAGAAGAAGACTGATGGCAACCCATCCCACTACTGCTGATATTTACCACATTCACCTGGTCAAGCTTATTAGAGATGTAGTGTCTCAGGCCCCACAGACCTACAGGATCAGATTCTGCATGTTAACAAGGTCACTAGCAAGTCACACATATGTTACTGTTTGTGAAGTACCAGTGAAAGGTCTTATAAAAAGTAAGAGCCACATGGGGAAGTTCAGATTTTATTAGAAGCCTTTGGAGGGTTTTAAACTATAGAGTGGCATGATCTGGTTTCAGTTCTTAAATGGCTCCTCTGGCTGTTTTGTGGAAAACAGACCAGGGGAGGGGCAAGGACAGAGCAGGGAATTAGTTAGTTGGTAGTCTGGTTAAGGGACGTTGGCTGCATGGGTGAATGTGGTGTTGATGGAGGTAGTGACACACAGTCAAAACGGACACAGTCTGAAGTCAGAGCCAACAGAAATTGCTAACGGATCAGAAGTGGACATGAGAGTCATAACAACAATGATAAACAGCAGCAGCCAACACTAGTTAAACACAAGCCATGTGCCAGCCACTGCTCCATGTCTTTTCAGGTGAAAATTCATTCAACTGTCACAATAATCCCAAGAGGTACAAGTGACAACCCCACTTTATTCAAATGAAGACAACATGGTAGAGAGAGGTTGTGTAGCTGCCCAAGGCCTCAGATCTGAGCTTAGGCAGTGACTGGGGAGCTTGTACTCCATTCACCATCCCTTACAGAACAACTGCAAACACTGCACCATTTGTGAAGAGGAACGAGGCTGGTAAAGGGAATCAAGAGTGCTTTGCCAAACATGGCAACACGCGATTCCCATTGCACATCCACATGGAAACAGCAGGGAGACAGCCAATGCGACAGGATCTCCAAGGAAAGGTGGAGTAGAGATAAAAATGGGAAGGTCATTAGCACAGAGGTAGTATTTAAAGCCAACAGAGTAGATGAGATCACCCAGAGCAGTTTTTCAAACTGCAGGCTGTGAAATCAATTTAGTGGGTCATGAACAGCACTTAAAAAAAAATGAAATAGAGCAGAATGGAAAATAACAGAGTCCACGGCTCATGAAGTATAAGAACCGTTTTGTGAAACTTTTGTTTCTGTTGTGTCTGTGTGCACAAGACGGTGTAGTGTGTTTGTACTTGTCCGGCATTTGGTATGGCTGAACAAAAAGATTTAAAACCACTGGTCTAGAGGCTAACTTGGAGTGACTGATCCCTGCAATCACTCTATCATTTAGAAGGTGGAGAAGAGGAAAAGAAGCCAGAAAAGGAGAGTGAAGAAGTAGGAAGGAGGAAAGGCAGTGGGGGGGTCCCAAGCAAATGTGACATGTTGGACATCCAACGTGCTGGTGAGAGTCATGCAGTATGATCACAGCAGAGATGTCCATAATTATGGAATGGCAAGGTAAGCACACAGCTGTGGGAGCAGAGGGGCACCTAACCTGTTTAAACTTAGCACAGAATAAAAAAGGGAAGGAGAGAGGTGATATTAGGATTTTATTTGAGATCTAAGTTTAAGGGAACGGCAGGATATCCAGTCTGTAACTTCCATAAACAGCAAATATCCAATCATTCTTTTATTGTTGTTTTTAAGCATCTACTATGTGCTGGGCTGTTTACTAGACCTGGGAAAATAACTAGGACACTGTTCTATCCTGAAAAGCCTCAAACTGCAAGAGAGTAACGCAGGTACAGTACAGTGAAGAGAGAGGGTCAGAAGATAGGGTGCGTAACAACAGGTTTGTTGAAGGCCACGGCAATTTTCCTTTCCAACCATACTGCTCACTATTGGCCAAACCCACCACTCCACACAGACCATGCGCTCCGACCTCTTGATTTGTGCTTGGCCTCTCCCCAAAACACTTTCCAAATCTGAGTCATTCCTCAAGGCCATTTGGCTTCCTCACTGAAGGCTTCAGGAAAACGGCTCAGCTTGGTGATCTTGCCTTCCCCAAACAGCTACAGCACTTCTTGTCCATACACCATTACCTGGTGGCTGTGTCCTTATTTCCCCACTTGGTATGAATGCCTTATCTCCCCAGCTGAGCCATGTATTGTTGAAGGCATGTAACAAACATGTCTCACATCTACAAGGTCCTCAAACAGCAGCCAAGCAAACACTTGTTGCTCTGCTACTAGACTTCCCTCCAATCCAGCTTGCATTTCAGCATCTTACTGAAAAAGATCTGATTAATTCACCCCCTATTTTAAAACCTTCACTGGCTCCCAATTATTAGTACAGCACATGCAGACTTGTCTTCCAGGTGTACCACACAGCTTTCCCTTCCCTGCCTCCCAAACACCTTAAAGTTGAAGCAACAGCAATAAAAATAGTCACGTGCTACATAACACATTTCTGTCAACAATGACCACGTACACAATGGTGGTCCCATCAGAGTACAATGGAGCTGAAAAACTCCTATTGCCTGGTGATGCTGTAGCTGTCATAATGCAACATATTACCTCCTTGTTTATGGTCATGCAAGTGTAAACCTAATATACTGCCAGTGGTATAAAAGCATAGCACATACAACTATGTACAGTACATAATACTTGAAAATAAACTATGTTACTGGTTTACATATCCTATGTAGAATTCTATGTTATGTATACTATGTATTCTACTTATAAAAATAGTTAACTAAAGCTGGGTGTGGGAGCATGTGCCTATAAGTCCTAGCTACTCAGGAGGCTGAGGCAGAGAATCGCTTGAACCTGGGAGGTGGAGGTTGCAGTGAGCCGAGATCATGCCACTGCACTCCAGTCTGGGCGACAGAGAGAGACTGTCTCAAAAAAAAAACCAAAGCAAACAAACAAAAGACACTGTTATCATAGGAGATGATAGCTCCATGTGTGTTACTGACCCTAAAGACCTTCCAGTGGGCCAAGATGTGAAGCTGGAAGACAGTGATATTGATTATTCTGACCCTGTGTAGGTTTAGGCTAATGCATGTGTTTGTGTCTTAGTTTTTAACAAAAGTGTTTAAAAAGTGAAAAAATAAAAAATAAAAAATATTTAAATATGGCTCGGTGAGGTGGCTCACGTCTGTAATCCCAGTACTTTGGAAGGCCAAGGTGGGTGGATCACATGGGGTCTGGAATTCCAGACCAGCCTGGCCAACACGGTGAAACCCCGTCTCTACTAAAAAAAACACAAAAATTAGCCAGGTGTAATGGCGTGTGCCTGTAGTACCAACTACTTGGGAGGCTAAGGCAGGAGAATCGCTTGAACTCGCGACATGGAGGCTGCAGTGAGCTGAGACTGCACCATTCCACTCCAACCTGGGCGACACAGCAAGACTCTGTCTCAAATAATGATAATAAATAGAAAAAAAAGCTTATAAAGTGGCTAGGCCTGGTGGCTCACACCTACAATTCCAGAACTTTTGGGAGGCAGAGGAGAAAGGATTGCTTGATGCCAGGAGTTTGAGACCAGCCTGGGCAACATAGCATGACTCCAGCTCTATAAAAACTAAAAAAACGTAGCCAAGCACGGTGGTATGCACCTGTAGTCCTAGCTACTCAGGAGGCTTAAGTGAGGGTTGCTTGAGCCCAGGAGTTTGAGGTTACAGGGAGCTATGACTGTGCCACTGCACTCCAGCCTGGAACAGAGTAAGACCTTATCTCTAAGAGTAATTAATAATAATCATAAAAAAGTTTATAGAATAACACAATGACAGAAAATATTTTTGAACAGCTGCACAATGTATTTGTGGTTTAAGCTAAGTGTTATTACAAGAGTCAAAAGGTTACAAATTTTTAAAGTTTTTAAAGTAAAAAAGTTACAGTAATCTGGCCAGGGACTGGTGGCTCATGCCTGTAATCCCAGCATTTTGAGAGGCCCAGGCGGGTGGATCACAAGGTCAGCAGATCAAGACCATCCTGGCTAATACGGTGAAACCCCGTCTCTACTAAAAATACAAAAAATTAGCCAGGTGTGGTGGCGGGCACCTGTAGTCCCAGCTACTCGAGAGGCTGAGGCAGAAGAATGACGTGAACCCGGGAGGCGGAGCTTGCAGTGAGCCAAGATCAAGCCACCGCACTCCAGCCTGGGCGACAGAGAGAGACTCCGTCTCAAAAAAAAAAAAAAAAAAGTTACAGTAATCTAAGGTTAATAATATCAAAACAAGAAAACTTTAAAAAATAAATTTAGTGTAGTCCAAATGTACAGTGTTTATACATCTACAGTAGTGTGCAGTAACGTCCTGGGCCTTTACCTTCATTCACCATTCACTCACTGACTCACCCAGAACAACTTCCTTATCTTTTATACCTTATTTTTACTGTACCTTCTCTATGTTTAGACATATGCAGATACATACTTACCACTCTTTTACAATCTCCTACAGCATTCAGTACAGTAACATGCGGTACAGGTTTGTATCCTAGGAGCAATAGGCTATACCACATAGCCTAGATGGGCAGTCGGCTACACCCAGGCTAGGTGTGTGTAAGTACATCCTAAGATGTTAGAACAACGACAAAAATCACTCAATGATGCACTTCTTAGAAATATTCTGTTGTTAACTGAGGCATGATTGTACCAAAACAAAAAAAAAACAACGTACCACCAGCACCAAAGGTGCCAGAGATGAAAATTAGAAAGACGACTGATATTCATTCAACTGCTGACAACAGATGTTTTGGGGGTGGGATTACAGGGCATAGTCATCTTTCAGCAACTAGTTCGATCGGCCGGGCGCAGTGGCTCACGCCCGTAATCCCAGCACTTTGGGAGGTCGAGGCGGGCGGATCACGAGGTCAGGAGATCGAGACCATCCTGTCTAACACGGTGAAACCCCATCTCTACTAAAAAAAATACAAAAAAATTAGCACGGCGTGGTGGCGGGCACCTGTGGTCCCAGCAACCCGGGAGGCGGAGCTTGCAGTGAGCCTAGATCGTGCCACTGCGCTCCAGCCTGGGCAACAGAGCAAGACTCCGTCTCCAAAAAGAAAAAAAAAAAAAAAAACTAGTTTGACCAACATGCTAATTTTAAAACAAATAAAATTTAAAAGAAAACAATAATTGCAACTACTTTTATTGAGTGTTTAAATTATGTGCAATGCAATATTTTTTGTTTGTTTTGAGACAGAGTCTCCCTCTGTCGTCCAGGCTGGAGTGCACTGGTGCAATCTCGGCTCAGTGCAACCTCTGCCTCCCTGGTTCAAGCAATTCTCCTGCCTCAGTCTCCCAAGTAGCTGAGATTACAGGCTTGTGCCACAATACCCGGCTAATTTTTGTATTTTTAGTAGAGGCGAGGTTTTAACCATGTTGGCCAGACTGGTCTCGGACTCCTGACCTGAAGTCATCCACCTGCCTCGGCCTCCCAAAGTGCTAGGATTACAGGTGTGAGCCATCACACCCAGCTGCAATGCAATATATTATAGTCTCATTTAATCTTAACTCTATTATGCAGTAACTAGCCATTCTGCAGATGAGGAAACAAAGGCTCAGAAAGTTTAGTAACTCTCATAAGGTTATACAGCCAGTCAGTAAGGAAGACAGGCTGGGACTAACAAGGAATGTGCCCTAACTTCTACTGTTCTTAGCAATGTTCTGTGTATTCCCAGCACACCCAGCAGGCACCTTCTGCACCTTTTCGTTTGTTCAGCCTGGTCCTTCTGCGTGAATAATACCAGCTTTGCTGACATACCACTCACCTTTCAAGTCCAGTGCAAATCGCACTTTTCCCTTAACACCTTCCTAGAACACAAGCCATGATAAGCATTACCAGAGTTATCTACCCTTCTATTTCCCCCACAGCGTGGGACCTTAGTTCTCTTACTGCCACGCACAGAGCAAGCAATCGAACACTGGGTGAATTAAGTTGACAATATAAATTCTCTTTCTGACAAATGTAAAGGTAACAGATGAAGACCAAAAGTTTTAATCTGTGAGGAAAATTAATACCAAGAAAGGGTTTCCATAATCCCTACCTGCATTCTCTGCTCTGAACCTCACCTCTCACTGAGGCATAAGGAAAGGCAGGTTAATTTTCACCTCTTCCAAAAAGTGGCTTTACATAATAAATCCCACTTCTGAAGAATAAAAGCTACCTAACTTGTTATTAAAAATGTAAGCAATGAGAATAAAAAGGTTTCTTTAGAGTTTTTAAAATTACTTTCAATGCCTCTAGCCCTTGAAAGAAAGCACTTAAGTTTAGTACAAACAAAATGTAAAAACATGAAAACTTACTTTCCCTATACATAAACATGGAGACACAAAACCAGTGAAACAGACACGTTTAAAATTCAAAATGCTCTTAACTGACCACATCCTAATTTACGAGCAGAAGTCGAGTCCAAACAAAAACACACTGTAAAACAAAAGTGCTGGCTAACAACCTTAGAAAGAAAATATAGGAGGGGACAAACAGATTTTAATGTGTCCTTGGCCTTCCTGAGCAAAGCAATGAGAAATGCAGTCAACCAAAGCATTTAGACTTGATTTTACTGGACGTACCAACACCATAGGTCAACCTGTCAAATGAAGCAAAAAGCAGAACCGAGTTCTATGGGTTTAGTCCCCTCCAGATAAAAGCCAATGAACCTTTTTACAGTTTATGGGGTCCTCTCCATATGGCTGGGGATGCAGGCATGGGAGGAATATTGTCTGGACGATTAATTCCTGTGAAATGAACACAGGAGTTAGGAGGAGCGGAGGTGAGTCAACACACTCTACACTTCCACGGTTGCCTCAAACTCACCACAATTCCAAAATACCAAGAAACAATGTGCTAGTTCTTGCTTTTTTTAAGTGTCCATAAGCTAAAAGTCCTTCTGAAGATTGAGCGTCCCACTTAAAAGCCCAAACCAAAAAATAGTTTGCAGGATTATTTCAAATATATTAAAAACATCAAAATGCTAACTCCAAACTAAGGTGAAATAGTTACATCTAAGTATCCAAGAAGAGCATCAAGAATTAGCAAATTAATTTAGGGTCAGAAAACCTAATAATTAGGGTCAGAAGAACAAAAAGATCATTTCGGTAGCATAAGAACTTTGTGCCGGGTGCAGTGGCTCACGCCTGTAAATCCCAGAACTTTTGGAGGGCAGGGCAGGCGGATCACGAGGTCAGGAGTTCAAGACAAGCCTGGCCAACATGGTGAAACCCCACCTCTACTAAAAAAAATACAAGAATTAGCCAGGCATAGTGGCGCATGCCTGTAGTCCCACATACTCGGGAGGCTGAGGCAGGAGAATTGCTTGAGCCCAGGAGACAGAAGTTGCAGTGAGCCGAGATCGTGCCACTGCACTCCAGTCTGGCCAACAGAATGAGACTCTGTCTCAAAAAAAAAAAAAAAAAGAACTTTGTAAATGTCTGTCGCTCTAGACCTTATTTTAGGGTGCAAGCCATAACTATGATAAGGAGGGTGCCATGTATAAATGTAACAGACACTGAGACAAAAGAAAACTACTCCTGACAGCAGTTTGCTGTCTTTCCCAAGAGATTTGAGGAACAGTAACCATAAAACTTTCCTCCTCCCTTCTCAACTGGGGACTTCTCTGATGTAATATCAGGGAGAAGAACAAGGGAACATTGGGTATCAACTGGTGCACACCATCTCTCTCCTGAAGTGACAGAAAGAACATTGAGTAGTACTATCTTACCTAGAGTCAAACTAAATGACTTGAACAAAGAGACCAAGAAAAACATGTTTAGAAAATCATCTAGAAATAGGATTTTATTTTAGTAAGCGAAGTGAACAAAAAATACAATTTTATTTGTACATACAATTGCTTCCACTATTAAATTTGTTTTCTATTGATTCTTCTGGGTCATCTGTTGGAAAAAGTACTACATTTAGAATTAAGAAATCTAAATACTTCCTAGTCTTGCCACTTGTTCTGTGACTTGGGCAAGTTATTTAACCCATATGTCTCACATTCTTCACCTGCAAAAGTGGAGTTAACCTACCTTGCCACCACACGGGAATGTCCCACAGTAAGTCTGCAAACAGCTAAGTACCATATAAATCAAAATTATCACTGTTAGAATTACCACCCTCTTTCCCTCTCTCAGGTAAAAACTTGAACCAATAATAAAATAAGTAAAAGACACCAGACATGGTGGCTCACGCCTATAATCCCAGCACTTTGGGAGGCCGAGGCAGGCAGATCACTTGAGGTCAGGAGTTCAAGATCAGCCTGGCCAACATGGTGAAACCCTGTCTCTACCAAAAATACAAAAATTAGCTGGGCATGGTGGCAGGCACCTGTAATCCGAGAATCACTTGCTTGTACACCCAGGAAGCAGAGGTTGCAGTGAGCCGAGATCTCACCACTGCACACTCCAGCCTGGGTGACAGTGAGATTCCACTTCAAAAAAACAAACAAAAACAAAAACAAAAAAACAAGTAAAAGACAACAAGGAAAAAAATGGAAAAGAGGTTATCAAACAAACAAAATAAACCCTAAAAAACACAATAAATAACTACTGATTGGTGTAACAGCACTCTGTGACAGGTAATTTTTGTCATTCTCGAGTTAGGAAAGATCCCACACCCTGGGATCTACAGTCCATTCATAGAAATCACAGCAGGGTTAAATCCTCATCAATCCTCTAATTCACAATGAAGAATGCCGACGGAGCGCATTCTTAATCTATATGGCAAGAACTACAAGCCACAGGACCAATCCCCACCCTCCCCACAGAGGGACAGTGGCCTGACAGTTGGAGCTCTACTTGGAGGCAGATGGCCTCTAAAGTGCAAGAGTTTTCCCTTCTTCCCTGACCACTGGCATGCAATTAGCAAACACCCTAACCCCAGTCATTCTGAAATAAGCCAATGGAGAGTCACCTGCAATCCTAAATTTTGAAAATAAAAAAGTCAAAGAGACACAAACATTCTATGAAAAATCAGCCACAAGCATAACATTGCAGGTATTGTGGGTCTGGTTCCAGACCGTGGCAATAAAGCGAGTCACACAAATTTTCTGGTTTTCCAGCACATATTAACTTTTATATGTGTACGCTATACTTCAGTCTACTAAGTGTGAAATGGTATTATGTCTAAAAGACAATGTTCATACCTTAATTTAAAAAATACTTTATCGTTAAAAAATGCTAACAATCATCTGAGCCTTCAGGGAGTCCTAATCTTTTTGCTGACGGAGGGTCTTGCCTCCATGTTGATGGCTGCTGACTAATTAGGGTGGTGGTTGCTGAAGGCTGAGGTGGCTGTGGCAAATTTCTTCAAATAACACACCCATGAAGTCTGACGCATCGACTGGCTCTTCCTTTTCTAAGAGATTTTTCTATAGCATGCCAAACTGTTTGATAGCATTTTACCCACAGTGGAACTTCTTTCAAAACTGCAGTCAGTTCTCTTCAACCCCGCCACTGCTTAATCAACTACGTTTATGTAATATTCTAAATCTTTCATTGGCATTTCAACAATGTTCACAGCATCTTCATCAGGAGTAGATTCCATCTCAATAAATCACTTTCTTTGCTCATCCATAAGCAGCAACTCCTCATCTGTTCAAGTTTTATCATGAGATTACAGCAATCCAGTCACATCTCCAGGCTCCACTTTTAATTCGAGTTCTCTTGCTATTTCTACCACATCTGCAGTTCCTGCCTCCACTGAAGTCCTGAACCCCTCAAAGTCATCCATGAGGGCTGGAATCATCTTCCAAACTCCTGTTCATGTACTGACCTCCTCCCATGAATCACAAATGTTCTTAATGGCATTTAGAATGGTAAATCCTTTCCGAAAGGTTTTCAATTCACTCTGCCCAGACCCACTAGAGGAATTATTATGTATAGCAGCTAGAGCCTTATGAAACATATTTCTTAAATAAGACTTGAAAATCAAAATGATTCCTTGATCCAGGGGCTGCAGAATAGATGTTGTGTTAGCAAGCATGAAAACAACATTTATCTCCTTATACATTTCCATCAGAGCTCTTAGGTGACCAGGTATACTGTCAAGAAGTAATATTCTGAAAGAAATCTTTTGAGTAGTAGGTCTCAACAGTGGCCTTAAAATATTCATTAAACCATTCTGTAAACAGATGTGCTGTCATCTAGGTTTTGTTGATCCACTGACAGAGCACAGGCAGAGTAGATTTAGCATAAATTTATGGGCCCTAGAATTATTAGAATGGTAAATGAGCACTGGCATCAACCTAAATTCACCAGCTACACCAGCTCCTAATAACAGTCAGCCTGTCTTTTGAAGCCAGGCACTGACTTCTCCTAATTATGGAAGTCCTAGATGGCATCTTTTCTGACATAAGGCTACACTGAATATCTGTTCAATATAGCCACCTTCATCAGTGATCTTGGCTACATCTTCTAGATAACTTGCTGCAGCTTCTACATTAGCACTTGCTTCAACTTGCATTTTAATGTTACAGAGATGGTTTCAAGAACTTTAGGAACCAATCTGTGCTAGCTTCAAACTTCACTTCTGCAGCTTCTTACTTTTTTCAGCCTTCACAGAAGTGAAAAGAGAAAGTCTTGCTCTGGGATTAGGCTCTGGCTTAAGGGAATGTTGCGGCTGGTTGATTTTCCATCTGAGTCACTAAAACTTTTCCATATCAGCAATAAGCTGTTTCGTTTTCTTCTCATTCATGTGTTCACTGGAGTTGTACTTTTAACTTTCTTCAAGAACCTTTTCTTGCATTCATAACTTGGCCACGTTTGGTGCAATAGGCCTAGTATTCAGCCTATCTTGGCTTTTGACATGCCTTCCTCACTAAACCATCATTTCTAGCTTCTGATTTAAAAGTGAGAGATGTGCAATTCTTCCTGTCACTTGAACATTTAATGGTCATGATCAGGTTATTAACTGACCTAACTTCAATACTGTTGTGTCTGAGGTAACAGAGAGACCTGAGGAGGTGGTGAGATGGGGGGACACCCAGTTGGCAGCAGTCTGAACACACATCTATACACAACATGTATATATTAAGTTCGCCGTCTTATATGGGAGTGCTTTGTGGCGCTCCAAAACAATTACAAAAGTAACATCAGGCCGGGCGCGGTGGCTCACGCCTGTAATCCCAGCACTTTGGGAGGCCGAGGTGGGTGGATCATGAGGTCAGGAGATTGAGACCAACCTGGCTAACACGGTGAAACCCTGTCTCTACTAAAAATACAAAAAAATTAGCCAGGTGTGATGGCGGGCACCTGTAGTCCCAGCTACTCGGGAGGCTGACGCAGGAGAATGGCGTGAACGCGGCAGGCAGAGCTTGCAGTGAGCCGAAATCGCACCACTGCACTCCAGCCTGGGCGACAGAGCGAGACTCCATCTCAAAAAAGAAAAAAAAAAGTAACATCGATGATCACTGATCACAGATCTTCATGACAGATAACAATTTTAAAAGTTTAAGGCTGGGCGCGGTGGCTCATGCCTGTAATCCCAGCACTTTGGGAGGCCGAAGCGGGTGGATCATCTGAGAACAGGAGTTCGAGACCAGCCTAGCCAATACGGAGAAACCCCGTCTCTACTAAAAATACAAAATTAGCAGGGCGTGATGGCGCATGCCTGTAATCCCAGCTACTCGGGAGGCTAAGGCAGGAGAATCACTTGAACCCCGGAGGCGGAGATTGCAGTGAGCCAAAATCACGCCATTGCACTCCAGCCTGGGGAACAAGAGTGAAAATCTCTCTCAGAAAAAAAAAAAAAGTTTAAAATATTCAGGCCAGGTGTGGTGGCTCATGCCTGTAATCCCAGCACTTTGGGAGGCTGAGGCAGGCAGATCACTTCAGGTTAGGAGTTCCAGACCAGTCTGGCCAACACAGTGAAACCCCACCTCTACTAAAAATAAAAATATTAGCCGGGCATGGTGGTGCACACCTGTAATCCCAGCTACTCACGAGGCTGAGGGGGAGAATCGCTAGAACCCAGGAGGTGGAGGTTGTAGTGAGCCGAGATGGCGCCACTTCACTCCAGTGCAGCTCTGGGAGACAGAGCGAGACTCCGACTCAAAAATAAATAAAATAAAATGAATAAAATGTTTAAAATATTGGGAGAATTACCAAAATGTGGCACAAAGACACAAAGTGAGCACATGCTGTTGAAAAATTGGCACCAACAGACTTAGACTTGCTCAATGCAGGGTTGCAATAAACCTTCAATTTATAAAACAAAAAAATCCCACAATATCTGTGAAGTACAATAAAGTAGAATGCAATAAAATGAGGTATCCCTGTATTTCCAAAGCTTCTAGGTGGTAATAATAATAGCTAAAATTTATCTAATCATTACTGTAAGTCTGGCAATGTTCTAAAAGCTTTAGTTATGAACTAATTTAACTGGCACAGCCACCCACGAGGTAGGTACAATTATTATTTCCATTTTCTAGACAACGAAACAGAGGCAGAATAGTCATTTGCTTGACGTCACATTGCAAACAAGGGGCAGAGCTGGGATTCAAAAATCAGGCGACTGGCTGCAGAGATCATGCTCTAGATAGTGAGTCTTAAAGCACCCACCAACCAATACCACCTGGTTTACCCAAACAATTCAGGCATCTTAACAGTGTCACACAGAGACATAAACAATAATACAGTATAATAGTATCACTCACCATATGGTCACTTGTTTCAAGGTTAATGTTAGAATAACATGAGTCCATGAAAATAAGACCTTGTTTTCTGTTTACAGTAATACAGACTAAATAACTGCACAAAAAACTGGATACAATATATATACATCTTTCCAAAAGTAACAAAAATCTAACAAGATAGTGAGATATTACCAAATTAATATCCTGAAAAAGATGGAAATCCAAAGAAAGAGGCAAGACCTGGGGGCATTTGTTGATTTGCCAGTGGAGGCCCAGAAAGTGCCTGGCTCACTCCAAGGCCTTGCATAGGAGATAACTTATAACTCATAACTCAGTAACGCGCTCCTCACCCCAGCGAACCTGTGAACTGAGGCCCCATAGGGCTGCATCCTAGGAGTAAGACTGAAGTAGAAGTAAATAAGCCCTCCCATGGACTCAGCTTCAAACCATCTGGATAGTCCATAAAAAACTCAAATCTTCAACTTTTTTTTTTTTCTGAGACAGAGTCTTGCTCTGTCCCCCCCAGGCTGGAGTGCAGTGGCGCCATCTCAGTTCACTGCGACCTCCGCCTCCCGGGTTCATACGACTCTCCTGCCTCAGCCTCCCAAGTAGCTGGGATTACAAGCACCCGCCATCACGCCCGGCTAATTTCTGTATTTTTAGTAAGGAGGGGGTTTCACCATGTTGGCCAGGCTGGTCTCGAACTCCTGACCTCAGCTGATCTGCCTGCCTCAGTCTCCCAAAGTGCTCTGGGATTACAGGCCTTAGCCAGCGCGCCTGGGCTTCAACTTGTATTAAAATGATCCTCGTTGGCTAGTGCCGTCAGTCACCTGGAAAAAGACATCACACCCAAAGCCTCTAATTATTTCTATAAACAATTTTTCAAATACCATGTCCAGCACACAAACATATGAACAAAGTACCATGAGTAAGAACCATGAGAGGCAGTTATAGATCCAAAGGAACTCCAAATACTGGAGATATCAGGAGACTATAAAAGAATTATATTTAGTATGTTCTAGGAAATAAAAGCGAAGTTTGAAAAATTTAGCAGGGAACAGGAATCCATAAAAAACAATGTAGCAGACTTGAAAAGAATCACAACTGAAAAATACAGTAAGATATTGGTAAGAACTATCCATTGAGTTATTAAATTAAAAGCAGATTAATCGGCTGGCGCGGTGGCTCATACTTGTAATTCCAGCACTTTGGGAGGCTGGGGCAGGTGGCTCACTTGAGGCCAGGAGTTGAAGACCAGCTTGGCCATCATGGTGAAACTCCATCTCTACTAAAAGTACAAAAATTGGCCAGGTGTAGGGGCACACACCTGTGGTCCCAGCTACTCGAGAGGTTAAGGCACAAGAACTGCTTGAACCCAGGAGGCAGAGGGTGCAGTGAGAGCCAAGATCGTGCCACTGCACTGCACCCCAGCCTGGGCGAAAGAGTGAGACTCTTGTCTCAAAAAAACGCAGATTAGTCAAAGAGAAGACTGATTAACTGAAAACAGGTCAAAGTAATCTACCCAGAATGAAAAATAGAAAAGAAAAAAAACACTTGTAATGGATGCCATTTAATCCCAGCACTTTAGGAGGCTTAGGCGGGCAGATCAGGAAGTCAGGAGATCGAGACCATCCTGGCTAACACAGTGAAACCCCGTGTCTACTAAAAATACAAAAAATTAGCCAGGCGTGGTAATAAGTGCCTGTAAGTCCCAGCTACTCGGGAGGCCGAGGCAGAAGAATCACTTGAACCCAGGAGGCGGAGGTTGCAGTGAGCCGAAATCGCACCACCGCACTCCAGCCTGGGCGACAGAGCGAGACTTCGCCTCAAAAAAAAAAAAAAAAAAAAAAAAACAGAAAAGAAAGGGTGACTACAAGGTTGAATGTATCCCTGTATGGGTGGACTCTTAGAATGAGAAGGGAATGGAGGCAAGGCAGTAAGTGAGGAGAAGTATTGGGAATTTTCCAGAACAAATAAGAGATATCACCAAAGAATCAAGAATCTTGGTGAATACAAAACAGATGGTCTCTATTATCTAGAATGTCTTCCAAAAATAACATGAACCTGTTCTGTAAGTATAGTACCACCACAATTAAATATCTATTGTGGTCATATTAGGGGTTATCATAGGGTATACTATATAGACGAACTTACAACACTCTCAGCACGTGAGGAGCTCAAAGTCAAGGATTTAGAAGAGGTATTTTCAACTGTGAAGATCTCTCTACCCGGCCAGGCGAGGTGGCTCACACCTATAATCCCAGCACTTTGGGAGGCTGAGGCACGCGGATCACCTGAGGTCAGGAGTTCAAGACCAGCCTGGCCAACATGGTGAAACCCCATCTCTACTAAAAATACAAAACTTGGCCAAGGGTGGTGGTGGGCACCTGTAATCCCAGCTACACGGGAGACTGAGGCAGGAGAATCACTTGAACCCAGGAGGCAGAGGTTGCAGTGAGTGGAGATCGCACCACTGCACTTCAGCTTGGGTGACAGAGCAAGACTCTGTCTCAAAAAAAGAAAAAAGACATGCAGGAACCTTAAATGATTATTGCTAAGTGAAAGACATGAATCTGAAGTGGCTACATGACTTTAGCTATATAATATTCTGGAAAACACCAAACTGTAAAGTCAGTAGGAAGATCAATGATTACCAAGGATCCAAGGGAAGAGGGGGAAGGATGAATACGGAGAGAGTACAGGTGACTCCTGGGATAGTGAAACAATTCTGTATAATACTGTATTAGCAGATGTAAGACATTATGCATTTGTCCAAACCCACAGAATATACAACAAAGAATGAACTCAAGTCAGTTGCTGTGGCTAGCACCTGTAATCTCACCTGAATCCAGCAGCTCAAGGTTACTGCGAGCTATGATTGTACCACTGCACTGGCTGGCAGAGCAAGACACTGTCTCAAAAAAAAAAAAAAAAAAAAAAAAAAAAAGTCAGGCATGATGGCTCACGCCTGTAATCCCAGCACTTTGGGAGGCTGAGGTGGACTGATCACTTGACGTCAGAAATTTGAGACCAGCCTGGCCAACACGGTGAAACCCTGTCTCTACTAAAAATATAAAAATTAGCAGGCATGGTGGTGGGTGCCTGTAATCCCAGCTACTCAGAAGGCTGAGGCAGGAGAATCGCTTGAACCCTGGAGGTGGAGGTTGCAGTGAGCTGAGATCACACCACTGCACTCCAGCCTGGGCAACAGAGCAAGACTCCCTCTCAAAAACAAACAAAAAAAGGTCAAATATGAACTGGACTTGAGTTAATAATAAAATATCAATACTGTATATCAAGTGTAGCAAATGCACCACACTAATATGAGATATTAGTAATAGTGGAACCTATGGTTGGATTGAGGGAGGGTAAACAGGAACTCTCTTATTGCTCATTTTTTCTGTAAACCTAAAACTGCTCTAAGCAATAAAGTCTACTAACATTTCTCTTAAAAAGTTAATGTATCAGGAAAAATGAACCACAATGACACAGCACTTCATACCCATAGGTATGGCTATAGGAAAGAAAACAAAAAATTACAAGTGTTGGTGATGATGTGGAGAGACTGGAACCCTCACATATTGCTGGTGGGGGCCAGGCACACTGGATCACTTGAAGCCAGGAGTTAGGAGACCAGCCTGGCCAACCATGGTGAGACCCTGTCTATAAAAATACAAAAATTAGACAGGTATGGTGGCACATACCTGTAATCCCAGCTATTTGGGAGGCTGAAGCAAGAGAATCACTCGAGCCCAGTGAGTGAAGCCTGTAGTGATCCACGATCATGCCACTGCCCTCCAGCCTGGGCCACACATGGGAATATAAAATATTCAGCCACTGTGAAAAAGTCTGGTGGTTCTTCAAAAAGTTGAATACAGAATTACACGATCCAGCAACTCCATTCCTAGGTATATACTCAAAATAAGTGAAAACAGGTATCCAAACAAATAGATATACACACATGTTCATAGCAGCACTATTCAAAATAGCCAAAAGGTGGAAACAACCGAAATGTCCATCAACAGATGAACGGATGAACAGATTGTGGTATATACATAAAACTGAGTATGTATTCAGCCATGAAAAGGAATGAAGTACTCATACACAATACAATGTAGATAAATCTCAAAACACTACGCGCTAAGTGAAAGAAGTCAGACATGAAAGGTCACATATTGTACGATTCCATCTAATGAAATATCCAAAAGAAGTAAATCTAAAAACAGAAAGCAGATCGGTGGTTGCAAAGGACTGGCAGAAGAGGGCAAGGGGAGTAACTGCTTAATGGGTAGCAGGTTTACTTTGGGACTAGATACAGGTTGTTATGGGTGCACACATTGTGAATGCAGCAAACGCCACTCGAGTGTTCGCTTAAAAATGATTAATTTTGTCACGTGAATTTCATATCAATTTAAAAAAATCTGGCTGGGCGCAGTGGCTCACACCTGTAATCCCAACACTTTGGGAGGCTGAGGCAGGAGGATCACTTGAGTTCAGGAGTTCAAGACCAGCCTGGACAACATGGCGAAACCCCATCTCTACAAAAAAAAATACCAAAATCAGCTGGGCATGGTGGTGCGCACCTGTAATCCTAGCTACTGGGGTGGTTGAGGCACAAGATTTGCTTCAGCCTGGGAGGCGGAGATTGCAGTGAGCCGTGATCATGCCACTGCACTCCAGCCTGGGCAACAGAGCCGGATCCTGTCTCAGAAGAGAAAAAGAAAAAGAAAAAAAATCTCTAAAAAGGTGTAACTGAGAAGAACCTAGGACATGCAAGAGCAAGTAATTCATTACATAGTCTTCCCCTTTAGTTATCTCCCTTACTCCTTTTTTTCTCTTTGTAGCTGGGACTACAGGCATGCACCACTATGCCCGGCTATTTTTAATTTTGTAGAGACGAGGTCTCACTATGCTGCCCAGGCTGGTCTCCAACACCTGGGTTCAAGTGATCCTCCCACCTAGCATCCCATTGTAGGCGTCAACTACTGTGTCCAGCCTCCTTTACTCCTGTCTCATTCCCATGGCTACTCATCTCGGCCCTGCAAAAACATGAAACGTGGAAGAACAAGATGCTATCTGGGAGGTTTCTAACACTAAATTAAATATTGTTTCTTTGAACACTGACCTACTTCTCCCTTAAGAACTGAGTCCTAGTACTAAAAACTAACCTTTCACCATCATCTTCCTAAAATATTGTGATACCTTCTGCAATGCCCTTTTAAGGGGGTCAAGACAATTCATGTATTCACCCTAAGACAGCTTCCTCCAGCGCGATGTCAACCTTTCTGCCCACCTGCTCAGGACCTCAATTTTGCTAAGATCACTAGCTCTTACTAAGCTTTGGTAGAATTAACCAATGTTTTCTAGCGCCTTTCCCTCTCTATGGCCAATTTTATTTTTAAATTTTATTTATGTATTTTTTGGAGAGAAGGTCTCACTACGTTGCCCAGACTGGTCTCCAACTCCTCGCCTCAAGCAATCCTCCCACCTCAGCCCCTGAATAGATGGAATTACAGGCATGAGCCACCACAGCCAGCTCTATGGTCAAATTTTTACAACGTATTATCAATGATCTAGTTGTCTGTTTCCCACACAATACTGTTGAACACCCTGAGGACAAGTACTAGGACTCATCCCCAAACTCTGAAAAATGGTGCTTCTCAGTCGTTTCCCCATTTGGTTTCTTTTCTTCTACTCTAAAATACTAGACCCAATTTGCTTAATTCTTTTTCTTTTTTCTTTTTTTTCTGAGATGGAGTCTCACTCTGTCACCCAGGCTGGAGTGCACTGGTGTGATCTTGGCTCACTGCAACCTCCACCTACCAGGTTCAAGTGATTCTCTTACCTCAGCCTCCGTGTAGCTGGCGTTACAGGCGCATGCCACCACGCCCAGCTAACTTTCGTATTTTTGGTAGAGACAGGGTTTCGCCATGTTGGCCAGGCTGGTCTTAAACTCTTTACCTCACCTCAAGTGACCCATCCGCCTCGGCCTCCCAAAGTGCTGGGATACAGGCATGAGTCACCAGGCCTGGCCTCAATATACTTAATTCTTTACCTACATTGTTTCTCCTGGCTTCAAAAAGCTTCCTGACCACCAAAACTAATCCTTGGAAAAGGACAAGTCTTCCCTACACCAAAACTAAATACCATTGTTTGCCTTTTTCTCGTACGTGTTTTTCTCTACCTCTAAAATGATTGCTTGTTCATGTGTTCAATGCACCGTAGAGGATACGGCAAGTGCCAATACCATAATCTTGCCCTCAGGGAGGACTGGGGAAGGAGGGCAAGAACACATTTAGAAAGGTATAATAGGCTGGGCACGGTGGCTCACGCCTGTAATCCCAGCATTTTGGGAGGCTGAGGCAGGCAGATCACGAGGTCAGGAGTTTGAGACCAGCCTGGCCAACATGGTGAAACGCCATCTCTACCAAAAATACAAAAATTAGCCAGGCGTGGTGGCGGGTGCCTGTAATCCCAGCTACTTGGGAGGCTGATGCAGGAGAACTGCTTGAACCTGGGAAGCAGGGGTTGCAGTGAGCCGAGATTGCGCCACTGCACTCCAGCCTGGGGGACAGAGCAAGACTCTGTCTCAAAAAATTAAAAAAAAAAAAAAAAGGAAAAAAGAAAGGTATAATAAAAAGCAAAAAGCAAAGATTAAAGGTGCACCAGAAAATTACAAACGTCATGAAGGAAACATCCAGTTAAGGGAATGTTAGATTTCATGGAGAAAAGTAACATTTGAGAAAGGCCTTGAAATATAACTATCTCAAAAGATGGAGAACAGGCTGCACGCGGTGGCTCATACCTGTGATCCCAGCACTTTGGGAGGCCGAGGCAGGTGGATCACCTGAGGTCAGGAGTTAGAGACCAGCCTGGTCAACATGGTGAAATCCCATCTCTACTAAAAATATAAGAATTTGCTTGGCGTGGTGGCAGGCGCCTGTAATCCCAGCTACTCAGGAGGCTGAGGCAGGAGAATGGCATGAACCCGGGAGGCGGAGCTTGCAGTGAGCCGAGATGGTGCCACTGCACTCCAGCCTGGGTGATAGAGCGAGACTCCATCTCAAAAAAAAAAAAAAAAAAGATAAGATGGAGAACAGAAAAGAGGACACGGACCCAGACCTGGAAATAAAGGCACCTCTGGGGACACCGAGCTGCAGCAGAGGATACAACTGGGGAAACCAGGAGATGTGGTTAGAGAGGCAGGGCAGGGTCCTACCATGGAACCCTGAAGACCAAGGCAAGGTGTCTAAATTTAACTCAGTACACAAATGAAAAGGATACGACAAGAGCTACCTTTCAGAAGATTTTCTGGCAGTAGTTGGGAAGACACTAGACCAGGGACTGGGGAAGAAAGGTTACTATTCACGAAGCTACAAGAGCTCAGGCAGGTCCAGCACCATGCTCATTTAAACCACTACCAATCTCTACTTCCACAAGCCTTGACCTGTCTCCTACTTGACTGGTTCCTCCGCATCTCTTCAAGACACCTCTCTTCAATTTCCTCACTTAAAATCACTAACTAGAAAGAAAAAATTAATAGTCTGTTCTACAGAAGTGACTTAAAAAGTGAATATTGTAGACTGATACAACCTTCTGGTTCATAGCCTTTACAACAAATATGTTGGCTCCTACTGTGTGTCAGGCACTACTCTAGGAAACATGGATGCAGACAGGGATGGAGTAGGCAAAGTTTCCATCCCATGGTGCTTACATTTTGTGAAGGAAACAGATACAAGACAAGACTGTCAGATAATTGCTGTGAAGGGAGAACAGGGCTGAGGGAGAGAGCACGTACTCATGTGGGCGCTGCCTGGGCTCAGGTGGGCAGGGAAAGCCTGTCAGTGTGGGGAGAAAGCAGCAGCCACATGGTGTACATTTTTACAAAGTATACATTTTACACTAAAAGGGAGAAACAGGTTTTGAAGCCACATAGAGTTGCATGCCAGCCCTGGCTCTATCACTTGGTGGCTGAGGAACCTCTTCCAAATGAATGAATCTCTCTTCAGTCTGTTTCTTTATCCCCGTTTTACAGATAAAATACTGACTTTATTGGGTTATTCTGAGAGAATTAAATAATGAATATAAAACGTGCACTGTGCCTGGTACTGGGTAAGGGATCTGTAAATATTAACTACTGATTTACTACATCAGTGATTAAATATACATAGAAATTATTTTGCTGCTATATCTAAACACTAGATTTAGCAAAAACTGTCTGCAATCAGTACCAATCATAATCCCAAATGCCATAATCCTGAATGTTAAAATCCCAAAAGACTAAAGTCTAAAAATCCCTAATGTTTAAAACCACAACCCCAAAAGATTAAAATCCCAAATGATGAAATCCCAAAAGCCGAATTTTGGGGCAGGGAATTTGCATAGTTTTGGTTGTACACAATAGTTACACCATGCTAGGTGGAACTATGACCTTGCTATTGTCATTATCTGGAAATTAAGTATGGTTTAAGGAGATGCCTATGGGTACCAAGTTGCCGAGGATAGATTTGTGGACTTAATTTTAGCTATCAACTTGACAGGAACACCTAGAAACCTGGTAAAGCACTGTGTTGTGTGTGTGTCTGTGAGGATGTTTTCAGAGATTAGTGTGCGAGTCTGAGTAGGCAAGGAGAGCCCTCTATGTTGGTGGGTATCATCCAATCAGCCAGGAGCCCAGGGAGTACACAGAAGGTGAATTGCTGAGAGCTAGAACAGACTTTTCTTCTGCTGCCTTGGACATCAGAACTCCAGGCTTGCCAGCCTTTGGACTCCAGGACTTAACCAGTGGCCCCCTGAATTCTGAGGCTTTTTGACCTTGGACCGAGAGATAACACCATTAGCTTCCCTGGTTCTGAGGCCTTTGGATTTGGACTGAGGTATGCTACTGGCATCCCAGGGTCTCAAGCCTGCAGATGATCTGTCATGGGACTTCTCAGCCACCATTAATCATATGAGCCAATTCCCCTAATAAATTCCCTCATATCTATACACATATCCTATTGGTTCTGTCTCCCTAGGGAACCCTGACTAATGCAGATTTGGTGTTGGGGAAGCTGAGTATCAGTTCTTCTTACTTTATTCTTTACAGCACAATTGAAGAGATCTGTGAAACTCTTCCCTCGCAAAAAGGCTCTGATAAGTGTACACGGCTACTTAATGGCGAAAGATAAAAGTTTAAAAGCTAATTATCACTGGTGCTGCAAAAGCAGAAATTGCAACGGCCAGGCAATAATCAGGCTTTCAAATAGACAGTATATACTTACAAAATTTGTGGATCACAACCACTTTGCAAATAAAACTGGAGCAAGTGCTTTGAAGATCGCAGAAGTGAAAATACAGGCAAAAAATACAAGAAATCTCCCCTGCCAAATTATTCAATGGTGTATTATTTCTGCTCCTTCACACATAGTGCCAATTTGCTATGCTATATATTTTATCTTCACATCATTTCTAATACTGGAGATATAAATTGTGTAGAGACTTTTGGAGAGTTCTAATTAATTCTATGCATTTTTTTTTTGCAAACTGAACTCCACAGAAGTGCATTATCACAACACTGACTTCATGTGTAAGCTCTGGCTGTGTTCATCAAAACGTAGAAGCCAGGTGTGGTGGAGCACCTGTAGTCAGTCCCGGCTACTAGGGAGGCTGAGGTAGGAGGATCACTTGAGGCCAGGAGTTTGAGGCTGAAGTGCACTATGATCATGCCTGTGAATAGTCACTGCACTCCAGCATGGGCAACATAGCTAGAAGACTATGGTCTCTTTAAAAAAAGTTGAAACTGGCCAGGCACGGTGGCTCACATCTGTAATCCCAGCACTTGTGAGGCCAAGGCGGGCAGATCACCCAAGGTCAGGAGTTCGAGGCCAGCCTGGCCAATACGGTGAAATCCTGTCTCTACAAAAATTAATAATACAAAAATTAGCCAGGCGTGGTGGCGGGGCGCCTGTAATCCCAGCTACTTGGAAGGCTGAGGCAGGAAAATCGCCTGAACCCAGGAGACAAAGGTTGCAGTGAGCCGAGACCACACCATTGCACTTCAGCCTCAGCAACAACAGTGAAACTCCATCTCAAAAAAAAAAAAAAAAAAAAAAGGTGAACCTTCAATGAGATGTCCTTTTTTTATACTGTTTTTGTGAAAGATAAAATTCAACAATATCTCTGCTCTTCAGGAGACTGCACACACAGTGATGACCCATCCTTGTTTTTACTACCTCATCAAAAGACCTAGTTTGTCCATCATGGTATTTCAGAGGACCACAGTTACAAAATGTAACACCCATGCAACTACGGTTAGTATACTGAGTGATTAAACTTGCAAAATACATTTGTTACTATTTTATTGTGTAAAGTGGTGTACTAGGCTGTTCCTGCATTGCTATGAAGGAATACTTAAAAGAAAAGAGATTTAATTGGCTTACAGTTCTGCAGGCTGTACAGGAGGCATAGTGGCACCTGCTTCCAGGAAGGCCTCAGGAAGCTTCCAATCATGGCAGAAGGCAAAGGGGGAACAGGCACATCACATGATGAGGACTGAGCAAGAGAGAGTGTGAGGTGCCACACTTTTAAAACAGCCAGATCTCGCGAGAAGTCGCTCACCGTCTCGAGGACAGCATCAAGGGGATGGTACTAAACCATTCATGAAAAATCCACCCACATAATCCAATCACCTCCTACCAGCCTCCACTTCCAATATTGGGGATTACAATTCAACATGAGATTTGGGCAGGGACACATATCCAAACTATATTAAGTGGCCTATGAAGTGTTGTCATGTTTTTGTTTCTCAAATAAATCCCCTTTAAAAAAGGTAAATAAGTGGTTTTTCTGTTTGTTTATTGAAGACAAAGTCTTGCTCTGTTGCCCAGACAGCGCCATCACAGCTCACTCCAACCTCTGCCTCCCAGACCCAAGAGATCCTCCCACCTCAGTCTCCCAAGTAGCTGGACTATAGGTGCACGCTAGCTTGCTAATTTTTGTATTTTTTTGTAGAGACAGGGTTTCTCCACGTTGCCCAGGCTGATCTTGAACTCCTGGGCTCAAGCAATCTGCCCACCTTGGCTTCCCAAAATACTGAGATTACAGGTGTGAGACTCTGTACCTGGCCAAACAAGTGTCTTTTTTTTTTTTTTTTTTTTTTTTTTTTGAGACAGAATCTCACTCTGTCACCCAGGTTGGAGTACAGTGGCATGATCTCAGCTCACTGCAACCTCCGCCTCCCATGTTCAAGTGATTCTCGTGCCTCAGCATCCCGAGTAGCGGGGACTACAGGCACTTGCAACCATGCCTAGATAATTTTTATATTTTTAGTAGAGACGGGGTTTTGCCATGTTGGCCAGGCTGGTCTCAAACTCCTGAGCTCAAGTGATCTGCCCACCTAGGCCTCTCAACATGCTGGGATTACAGGAGTGAGCCACCGCACCTGGCCCAAATAAGTATTTTTTAAATAATGTTTTAAAATTATTTTTTCCAGAATTATATTGTTTGGATTTCGATATTTTGGGATTTCAGTATTTGGGATTATGGCATCAAGAACTGTGTCTTTTAGGCCAGGCGCAGTGGCTCATGCCTGTAATCCCAGCACTTCGGGAGGCTGAGGTGGGCAGATCACCTGAGGTCGGGAGTTTGAGACCAGCCTGGCCAACGTGGCAAAACCCTGCCAAGGTGGGCAGATCACCTGAGGTCAGGAGTTCAAGACCAGCCTGGGCAACATGGCGAAACTCTGTCTCTACCTGTATTTTTTTTTGTAAAAATACAAAAAAATTAGCCGGGTGTGGTGGCACGCACCTATAATCCCAGCTACTTGGGAGGCTCAGGCAGGAGAATCACTTGAACCCAAGAGACAGAGGTTGCAGTGAGCCGAGCACCACTGCACTCCAGCCTGGGCGACAGAACGAAAGTCCATCTCAAAAAAAAAAAGAAAAAAATAAAAAAAAGAACTGTCTCTTTCAGAATTATGGCCTAAACCCGTCTGAAACAACTATTCAAGAAGTCTTTGGGAGAGCTAACACCTACAAACATAAACTTCGGTAATATTTTATAAAATATTCTTAAAAATCACCTTTATCCACACACAAGACAGTTTTAAAAGCTTTGGAGACTGAGTCCAGCTCTGTCGCCAGGCTGGAGTGCAGTGGCACATCTCGACTCACTGCAACCTCCACCTCCCAGGTTTAAGCGATTCTCCCGCCTCAGCCTCCCAAGTAGCTGGGATTACAGGCACGCACCACCATGCCCAGCTAATTTTTGTATTTTTAGTAGAGACGGGGCTTCACCTTGTTGGCCAGGATGGTCTTAATTTCCTGACCTCATGATCCGCTGCTCACCTCGGCCTCCCAAAATGTTGGGATTACAGGTGTGAGCCACGGTGCCCAGCCTTTAAAAGCTTTTTTAACTGAAACACTAGAGTAACAATCTTGGCATTTTTAAACGTATATAATTATCCCTATATATAAAACTATTTTAACAAAAATAACTATTTTCATACAACCATTTTAACTCTAGAATAAAAATACTGTTATAGTGAGATTTTTTCAAATATTTAATTTAGTAGAGTCAAATGTTTAACAAAAATAAAATATTATGAAGTATATAGTATATATTTTAATAAAAGGCTAATAAACTGAATCAGGTCAATAAGAGAAGCAAAATACTGGTTTATAAAACTAAGGCCTTCAAGTGACAGGGGGCCATAGGAAAAAAACAACAAAACAAAAACTAAGGCTTTATTCATTTATAAGTGGCAAAAGAAAAAATTTCCTATTTCCCTATTCCCTAATGATTTAATGTAAACTAAAGCAAAGAGAATGCATTAGTTCACTCTTCCTTAGAAACCTACACCATCTACTAATTTGCTAATGAAATCAGATACATGAGTTCTACATGATCAGTGTTGTGACTTCACATTAGTAGAGACGCTACTTGAGTTGCACTGTCACTGGGTTCCAGAAAGAGAATTTCCTAACGAATCACTAAGAAAGCTTCTTCAACAGATACAGGACGGGCTAGTATCAAAATATAGAAAAAAAAATAAAGTAGAGATAATGCTTTGTCTGTTGAAAAATATTTATTAAACTTCTCTAAAAGGGATTACATAAATATATTATCTCAACTACTATAATTAGATGTCAATTCCAATTCCTTAGTAATATTTTCAAGATTTACCCCTTAAATATAGGCGTATGAAAAACCAAAAGCATCAACAAAAGTTTTATTTATATAAAAAGATTTATGCTGGAATGTTAAAATCTAATATTTTGATTTTGAAAGCAAGTTGATTTTTTAAAAACCCTGAAAACAGTAGAGTGAACTGGCATTCCTTGAAAAGCTGAACAAAATAAGTTTAGTAAAAACAAGTAATAAATTTATTAATTCAGAAAGGATC